>NC_000001.11:208336102-208487617 GCF_000001405.40 Homo sapiens | reverse complement strand
TTCTTGAAGTCAGTGAGACCGAGAACTCACCAATTCCGGACACAAAGTGATGACAAGAAAATGAAGGAACTTTTCATACACTGCTACCTGAAATGTAAAATGGTATAAGTATTTTGAAATACAGTCTTGCATTTTATTAAAAAGTTAAACATTTACCTACCTAGGTTTTATACATTCCATTTCTAGGCATTTGGCCCCTAAAATTGAAAGTATATATCCTTACAAAGTTTATACATAAATATTCTTAGCAGCTTTATTTGTAATAGCCCCAAACTGGAAACAACCCACATGCTCATTCACAGGTGAATGGCTAGACAAACTGTGCTATATTCTACAGTGGAATATTATGCAACAATGAATGAATAATTCTAGTAATAGTGGATCAATCTCAAAAGTAATTATGCTGAGTGAAAGAAGCCAGAAAAAAAGAGGCTATATACAACATTCTTACATTTTCTAGAAAATTCTAGAAAAATACAGACAAATCTATAGTGACAAAAATAGATTGATGTTTGCCGGACAGTGAGGGGTTGAAGGGAGACATTACAGTGACATTCAAGGAAACTTTTGAAGGTAATGGGTATGTTCACTATTTTGATGATGGTCATGATTTTATTGGTGTATATGTATGTCAAAGCTCATCACATTACACACTTGAAATGTGTGCAGTTTATTGTATATCAACTACATCTCAATAAAGCTTTTTAAATATTATTAACTGTTGAGATATATTGCACAATAGGGTGACTTTAGTCAACAATAATGTATCATAGATTTAAAATAACTTAGTCAATTTTAGATGTCCCACTACAAAAAATGATAAGCAAGTGAGGTGATGGCTGTTAATTAGCTTGATTTAATCATTCCACATTGTATACATGTATCAAAACATCACCTTGTACCCTGTAAATGTACAAAATTATGGTTTGTCAATTTAAAATAATGTTCATTAGAAATTTATTACTACCACCTTTCTTTGGTAAGCATTCTGTCTAATATCCTTATTTCTCTTTTACTTTCAATTATTTTGTCTCGTGTGTTTTAGGTATTGTCTCTTGCAAACAGCAAATAACTGGATTTTTTTCCTCTTTCTGAAAAATCTCTCTTTAACGGAGCATTTAAATCATTTATATGTGTTATTCTTACTTATTGACATACTTCTATCATTGTATCTTGGGCTTTCAAATTACCAACTTTTTAAAATATTTGTTCTTTTATGCTTTTCTTCTGTCCTTTATAGTGTTCTTTAGACCCTTTCATTTTTTAAAATAGTTATTAATTTTGTTTCTCTTCATGTAATTATTACCCTTATTAGAAAAAATAAATAAAGCCCAGTGCACAGAAATGAGCTAATAGTACATCTTGGTTTATGGCATACTATTTCTATTAATCCATTAAAGGCTGCTATATTCTTTTATGCATTTATGTAATGTATGTATCCATTATTATTTCTCACTCTCATTTCCCACTTCCACTGTCATTTGTTTTTTGCATATTATTTAATTCTTATGTGTTGCTGTAAAACAGGAACTGTAGAAAGTTGACTCATCTGTGTATCGTCACAGGGTACCTGGTAAATCTGGAAAATGCTTTATGGGAAATTGAGAATCACTTGAAAGATCAACACAATGTAAGAGAGCTTTAAGTAAAACAAATGTCAAGTTTCCTCTGATTTGTGACAAGTAGGACACAAATGACCCCATTAAAATGTTCTTGTGAAACAATTTAGCCATGAGAATTTGTACACTTACTTTAAAAATCCATGTAAAAAATCTCTCTGAGAAAGGAATTTGGATGTTTAATTTAATTTTTAAAAATCTCAACACAGATTCAACAGATCTCATGGCTTTTCCAGGCCCTAAGTGATTTATACTTTTAGTCCAGGTCCATCTGACCAAAATCGCACAAATTGGCCAATAGACATGACCTGCAGCCTGTTCCTCTTTATGAAATTACTCTAGGCCCCAAAATAACACATGACGAAGAGAACACCGGGTAACAAGAACTAGGATGAGGATGAACATCTGGAGAAAATTATGTTCTTCTCCCCAAATGATAGAGAAATGGGGAAAGATAGGTCATTTTGCAAGCTTTTTATCAGTAACAAAAAGTTACGAAAAATCAGTTTTATGCAGACTTTGTATATATTTATTGAAGAAAAAATTTTGAAAAATAAAGTCTTTAGGAAATCTAGGTAAAATCCTGGTATCCAAAAATAAAATAAATATAAAAACTATTCACAAGGATTCCAAACAATCCTACCATTCATAAAATGATGGAAATTTAATCCACACTTATTAAAAATACAAAATTAAGTTAGTAATACTTTTTGGACAATTGCTTAAAATTACCTAAAAAGCTACTAAATGTGGCAGAAATGTTTTTATAAAATAAGATCTTTTAAAATGATGTAAAGAGAGTTTTTATAAGAGTTGAATTTTAGGCAAACTACAATATTGATTATCAAGATAATTTGCTTTAGCCAAATTGCTTTTAGGCAAACTGACAATCAACTCACTTCAACAAGAAGGTAAAATTTTCTTACACTATAAATATTGAGTATTAATTGTTTAAATGTGTGCTGAAGATCAATATATGATGAATGTGCGTAGACTGTAGGAGAGTATTATAAAGAATGCTAAACTAGCCCAGAGAAGAGAGTTCCTTCAACTGAGCCAGATAAGGGCAGAATTGAGAATATTTAACAATTTTCACTGATCAAACTGAGGATATAGGAGAAGAAAGTCAAGTTTCAGACGAAGTGTAAAAGAATTCAGGATGAATCTCTAATAGCATAACAGGAAAGTTAACAGAATCTATGATAGAAAATCCAAAATGCAGAGGAAGAGTCCATAAAAGATACCCTAGATCAGAGGTAAGAGACAAAGGAAGGAAAAGAGACATTCTTGATAAGAGATGCAAAGAACACATGCTAGAGAGCAGAGGCAGTGCAAGCAGAGAGATACTAGAGCTAAAACCAGCTGCCCTTTGCTCTTTTGGTAGAAAATGTAGCTGCAAATTTAGAGCGGCTTTGACCAGAAGTAAAAAACAGTGGTCCATAGCCAAACAGAAAACATTCTCTTCTCTCCCTCAGCACCTAAACATGTGTCATGAGTGGGATGATCAGATGATGGTAATGATGTGATGGGTAGGCTGGCTCAGAGTGGGCAGATCAGACACCCTGAAATCCTGAGTCTCAGAAGATGTTGGAACTAGTGGGTCGTGGCAAAGAAGAGCACTTGGAGAAAACTGTAATAATCCTTTAATTGGTAAAGCAGAGTTCTGTGTGGCAGGGGCAAAGTGGAAGGAGAAGTTTGTACTGAAAAGCACAGGCTGAGTTGGATAAAGCTCCTGATTTGAACTTTTGTGTAATGTCTCACAGAAATTCTAAAAGCAAGCCCCTAAATGCTGTGGTATAGCTAGTATGGAATTCATGCTCCTCACAGGAGCTCTTCCTGTCTTTAGCCCCTTTCTCTCTCCCCTTCCCTACCTTCACTCCATTCTGACTTTGGTGGCCTTCATCTGAGCACCCATAGTAGCTGCCCTTACTTGGTTTGTAGCACAAGTATATGATGTGAACATTTGTTTACTTCTTTTTCTTCTTTACTAGACCATGAGTTTCTGGAGAACAGGGACTCTTGTCTTTCATCTTTGCAACCCCGGTACCTAGCCCAGTGCCCAGCTCACAGCAGATAATGATACGTGAATGGAGAGATACAAACAGCTGGATGGATAAATGAATGGTAAGGGGTGCAGCTGATACATATGTATGCACACATATGTTCAAACAGTTATGCTCATAGACTCCCTCTGTGCTCCTCTGATGCTCATCCCTGGGCCAGAACTTTCTATGCTGTTGAACGTAATCCTGGGAGAGATGGCCTTCTCTTTCCATTTCCTGTCTTCAGCTGTCAACAGTTCCAGCTCATCATCTCTCAAACTGTCATAGTTAATATAAGCTATGTGAGTTTGGAGCATGCTCTGAGATCCCATCCCCATCTCTGGCATTGGTCTCCATCCTTCCAGCATCTCCTCTTTGGTCATTGCTCAGCATTTTCTGTCTGTTCAGAGAAGGGCAGCAGCAATTTGCTTTCTTGCCATGTTTACTTTATGTCTTTGTCCAATATCTATTTGTCATTTTTATTGTATTTCTCTCTCTTTCTCTGAATTCATCTTTGGATGAGGCCTTGTCCTTAGCATTTGCTTTCAGAAAAGAGAACAGAACACCTGGTGGAACCAGGAATTTATGTCACTGGTTTTGAACCCAGCTACATAGGAAATGGAACATTCACATACCCATTGGGGACTGTAGAAACTTAAAACTATACAGTGAGTTTATATTCTTCAAAGTACTTTCAAAAGCATTATTTCTTTTGAGGCCCACAAGGGTAATGTAGGGCAGGTATCATTACCCTCTAGCAATACATCAGGATTTTGAAAAGAGCACTGGAAATCTCATTGGTGTTTGAGCCCTTCCTATCTGCTAGTGTGACTTTGGGCAAGTCACTTATTACTTATAGTGACAAATAACTTATAGTGACAAATAACTACCTTTCAGTTTAGAACAAATATATGTAAAAATATATGCCTAACCATCTCACATGGTTATAAGCCTCACAAAAAATAGTTTAGATAAAAGTTTTGAAGTCATGAAGCATTATAAAATTAAAAGAGATTGGGATTGTTATTATCAAAGTATTACTATTATATATAATATATTGCCAAATTCCAGGGAGGGAAACAATTCTTGATGATCGGAACTCAACTCCTTTACCTCCCATTCCAGGAATGCTTTTGTCCCCATCATGCTGCCTATACTAGAACTGAGAGAGGACCCTAAGTCACCTCTTTATCCCTGAGGAGAAGGAGTAAAAATGTAATCACACACACACACACACACACACACACACACACACACACACACACGTTCTCAAAGTCTCCCTGCTTCTGGGCGGAGGAGCAGGGCTTCCTCCACCAAAGAGGGCAGCAAGCTAAGTTTCTCTCCATCCCAGTGACTCATAGACTAGGTGGTCAGTTTGAGCCAGAGAGATGAAAGCACAAGATCTCTTTAAGCATGTGAGACCTACCCATCCAGCTGCTGTATAACCAGCCTTGAGAGCTGTTAGAGGGGACAATGAAAAAAAAATCACATTTGCTTCTTCTGTTTTTTTCTTGGATTTCCATGGTCTCTCATTCATGGCTCCCAGACCTAGGCAATTTTCTGATTCCTTGAATGATTCGACTCTCTGAAAAGCACTCCAGCTTACAAACAGATTTTCTTTCTGGCAGATACCTCAGTGGTTACCATCTGAGGGCTTTCTCTTATACTGTATTGGTAAGTTTGTCACTGGGGCTAACTGCTTTTTAAATGCATTTACATATTAGGTCACCATTGGTCTGAAATCCACAGTGGAAGCAAGCTGTGGCCATGTAAATGGATTGCAAGAGAGTGACCTCAGAGAGGAGCACTGAGGTTAAAGACAATTTTGCACAAACAAGATGAGTTATATTTTCTCAATTCAAAGGTAACTTGATGGAAACATCTTAGCCTCAAATCTGATTGCTTTCACCAGGACAGTGATGAAACTGGCTCCATTGATAAAAGCCAACACATTTCCCTCCCTAATTTCATCAGCTTGACCCTTTCTTCTGATTAAATGCTTATAATTTTTCTCCCAGCATGTAATTTTTTAATTATAATATGTTTGAAGAACATCAAAATTATTTGGCTGTTTGCAGGGTGATTGTTGAAAGCAGAGTCAATTCGTTTCTTCTCTGATGTGCCGGGCACCCAGTGGGTGCCTGAGAAATAATAATTGACGACAGTGGCAGACATGTCCCTGTGGATGGGCTGATGTGCTCACGGGCAGTGACAGTGGGGAGAAGAAGGCTCTGAATTTCCTAGTGCTGAATTCCTGCCTCCCCATGCAGTTGGGATGGTAGAGGAGAGAGGAAAAAGACAGTGAATTTCATACTGAATGTCTTATGTATCATAAAGGAATTTCTGCTCAAAGGCCTCCAACTAATTTAGTTGGTTTTCTCTGGGATTAGGAATGGGATAGAGCAATGTTTTAAGAGAGAGATTTTGTTTGGGAAATATTTACTTGTCATAGTTAAAATAATCTTAAACCAAATAAAATATTTTCTGGACAGAAAAACAATAAAAAATAAATTTCTGGAAAGACAGGATGAGAGGCATAAAAGACAAAAGATAGATTTAGGGAAAGTGTCTCTACAAGGAATGCAGAGGGGTTCAGGCTTCCATCTTTGAATTTCAGTGTGACGTGGAAAAATGGTTGGCCTCAAAAGAACTATTCTCAGATTCTGCTCTACCACTTACCAGCTGGGTAACCTTGGGTGATATGCTCATCCTCTCTAATCCTTGCTTTCCTCATGAATGGTAGTGACAATAATATACCTGCTTCAAACATGGCGATGCTTAAATGAAGTGATACCTGTAACAGAGCACAGTACAATACTACACATGTTGAACGTGCTTGGCAATGGTTAGCAATAGTATTATATCAGGAAATTTCTGAGTCAGCATCAAGGACAGCCCTCTTCCTCTGCAAACTGTTAACACAGTTTAAATTTCCAGCTCTCTAGACTTCTCTGAGCCTGTCCTTTCTGGAAGCAGGAAGTTAGACAAGATGGCCTCTGAGGGACTCCTTGTGCTATCGGTCTGCACCTCTAAAGTTGTGGCCCTTTGGCTCCATTTCCTGCCTGTCTGATCTGTGTGTTTTTTGTTTGTGTTTTTCTGTTGTTGTTGATGTTTTTCTTGGAGTCAGCCGCATGACCCTCAGACCTGAATAGGATACTGAATTGCCAATTCAATTTACCTAAAACTGGTGGAGCCTGAAAGCCTGGCCTATAATGACATACAGCTAATCTAATACAAATTGATTTTGGTTTTAAATCCCAGCAAGTCAAGAAATTGCTGTGGATTTTTCCAAAACACAAAGAACCCTGCTTTGTTGTAACTGCAAAGCATCTGACCTCGGCTTCCTGGGTCCCAGTCTTCGCAGCCTTATTGATGCTTTCTATAACTGCAGCTACTAACCACACTCTCCCCACCCCACAGACACTGAACTTAGTAGAGATTGAAGGAGCTCCAGCTCCTTATTCTGCAACTCCCCATTCAGTTGTCCTTGGGGCCAGTTTGGATCTGTCCTGGAGCCTAAAGTCTGATCACACTGTCTTTGACTTATTTCTAAAGCTCCATCATTGTGCACTGCTGTTCTGATAACTATATCCCTGGATGTGAGCTCTTATCCATGTGATTAACTCTGGAACTGGGAAGCTGCACTATTTTGGCAGCCATTTCCATCAACAGGACTGAGTTCCTGAGTTCTGGTGCAAGGCTCAGATCCCTACAACTCAGGACCCTTCCCTGTTGCCAATAGCCTGTCTGCCGTTCTTCTTACTTGGATTTCCTGAACGTTCTGACTTAGGATTCCTTATTAGTCCATAATCAATTTCAAATTTCACAGATGCCAACTTCTTGCCTGGGCCAGCTCTGGTTATCTGTCTATGAAGAATTCCCAGTAGCATTTTTATTGAGCTGCCCAGAAAACAACCTTAAGCTGGATTTGTGGATCTGAAGGGATGGACAGGACTCAGATGTGACGATCCGGAAGGACATGGCAAGAAAGATCACAATGTTACATGCTTGCAGGAAATTAACAGTCATACTCTAACTCTTTTGAGCATATGTGCAAATGTAACAAAATAATAATATCTGTTGGGGCTGTAATGATTAAATGAGACAATGGTACATAATAATTGCTTACATACGTTGACTGCAGTGTTGTGCTTTTTTAAAGACCCTAATTGGCAGGATGGGAAATGAACCAATTGAACAGGGTCGGAACCTAGGAAAACCAGCTAATGGAGGTGGAGCCAGCCCCTGGGAGAAAGACACAACCAGCTACACGTCTCAGTAAGAAGTCCAGTCCAGCAGACGGCACTCTTTATCTGGAAACTATGGCAACAGACAGCATCAGTCTTCACACGGAGATCGAAACAAGCAGATAGGTAGACACGAAGTCAGCTATGGGACAATTAAAAGGTCTTGGGTCTGAGACAGGAATAAGAATTTCAGCCCTTATTTGTGTGGGACAATAGTTGTTTAGTGTGTGTAAGAATTACATTGAGTCCCAATTAAAAATGGAGAGTCTCAGTCATCATCTACAGAGTTTTTTAATCTTTAAGTGTAGTACAGAATTTTAATAAGTTCTTTGACGATTCTGATGTGGATGACTTTAGGATCACGCTAGGGGAAACTTAAGTGTAGAGAAACAGGCAATGGCAAGGCAGACCCCAACACTAGAGAAACTGAGTCACTTGGAAAGTTAATCAGAGAAAGACTCAGGACCTAGGATTCAGTTAGCACAACTGCAATGCTAGGATTCTGAGCCTCAGAAAACAAGACAAAATCCCCCAGTCCTCTGGACTATTAGGGAAATTAAGCCATTCTGCAGGGGATAGTTCAGGCTTCAAAAAGAAATGAATCAAATGTACATAAAAAAAGATATGTTTTCATAAGCGCAAGAAAAATACTGATTATTTTGACCAAGAGTTTGGTGCCCTTTGCCCCTCCCTCTCATCTATTCATTCGGGTAGGCATTCATTTATTCATTTATGTATTGACTCCACCGTGACTCCTGCTTCTATTGCTCCAACTATGATCTCACTCCTGAATCCAAGAACTACATGTAAAAATCCTCTTAAGAACTTGACATATACAAAGTCTAATTCAATATCTTTCTTTTCATCTCCAAATTAACTTTATCTCCTAAATTCCTATTATCTAAAGGATCAAGAAAGACAATGAGAATCACGTTTTATATCTGCATGTCATGAACTAGAATACCAAGAAGTTTACCTATATTTTCTATGATAACTGGTAGAGGGGCAAGAGTTTTCTGGCCATTTTACTCATCTTGAAACAAAGACTTGAAGATGATGTGTAATTCACAAAGAGAAAGAGACAGGATCCCTGTAGTCATTATTCCCAGCTTAGAGCTCTTTTATTTGGCCTCCCATTGGTGAATTGAGTGTCTCTGGTGTGGTTTTGAAATGGGAAGTGCAGAGTTACCTACCAGGTCATCTCCAATAATAGTCTAGTGTAGTGCCCCAAATTCTTCTACTTGCAGTTCATTCTTTAGAAACCTTCTTTTTAAATATAAATAAATGCCATTGCCAAAGTAAATATGCAATTACATCAACAGCTTTCAAACCAAATTTCCAGGACCCTTAGCAGTTCCCTGAACATTTCCTCGGAGGTGCACCAGAAAGGGCAGGACACACCAGCCCTTGAGCCCACCAATACCACCAGCACCACCAGCTTCAGTAAGAGGAGTTACTTTTCCCCCTGCTAAGTTTAAGGAGCTTCAATGCAAAAGCATTTACAGAAAATGTACTTTACCATCAGAATGTTAAAAATCATTTGTAAGAGTGGAAAAAAACTAGAAACAGCCTAAATGCCTATCATCCTAAATTATAGTACATCCACACAATGAAATGACAAGGAAGCTGTTAAAAAGGAGAGGTAGACCTATATATTCTGATGTGGAAACAAATCTGGACACATCTTTAAATGGAAAAGTCAAGTAGCAGGTGAGTATCTATGGTGTGGTTCTAAATGTGTTTAAAATATACATTTATATGCTTGTGTATACATAAACTAGTTTGGGAAAGACATAATTTCTGGCCTGGAAATTGTGACTTGGAGTTTGGGGCATGCATTTAGCATTTTACTGTACTCTCTTTTGTACTATTTCTCTTTTTAAATCAAGATCATATGTTGATTTTTAAATAAAAATATTTTTTAAAAAATGTATGAAAGTTATCAAGTTAAGGTATCATTGGTCATTATGAACATCTTGGCAGATATATCTTTTTCATAATAACAATGATCTCAGAGGAGAGAAACCCTTGAACAGGTAAACTTTGATATGAACGGTGTGAAAAGGAAAAGGCCCATCTACAGAGTGTTGCCTAACAGAGACTTAGGAAGATGGGGAGAGCTCCTGATCTATTTGAGGCCCCGACATTTGACAGGAAAATACCACCTGGCTGGGAGAAAGAAAAACAGAACAACTAGGAGAAAATACTCTCTTTTCCCATGTTTTTACTTGGTCCTCTTATTATGAATATAATCTAAACGATTTCCAGCAGGGAAACTAGGTTCAGAGGGCAGAGGAGTAAGAGTCAGCTATTAAAGAAAAATAATTGTCTTTGAGGGATTGGAAGGCTGTTATTTGGGTCGGACAATGATCCTGATGAAATCAACCAGATTGTTGCTCAGCTCTCCACTTCCTGAGTCTGGGCAGGAGGTACAGGACTTACATTCTAAGGCCTCTGGAGTCAGAAAGACTGGGTTTGTGTTCTGGCTCTGCCAGTTAACAACTTGCGACCTCTGCACAATGGAGGAATCAGACTAAATATTGTCTAAGTTCTCTTCAAACTCCAAGCTCTGTTATATCACAGGCATAAAAACCCCTGAGGGCTTCTCACTCTCTACTTCCAGTTTCTGTCTCTTTCATAGACTCCAAGAGTGAAATACTTGCACCCCCTCCCCTTTTCTGTGTACCTTCTCTTTGCCAGGTCGCGAAGGCAGGTGCCTGTGCACCTGGCTTGAGTCCATGACCCCTTGCTTCCTTGTGAAAGATGATTCTTCAGCTCCTGCACCACAGCCCTGCCAAGCTATGCTCTCAGAGCAGTCCATCATGTTCACTCAGATGGGGAGCAATCTGAACATCACAGTTAATTAAACTGCATTCTCAAGCAGACTCCCAGTTTCCATTTGGGAATTCAATTTAGGTGGCCCTAGTCAGGCTGTCTTTTGATCTACAAATCACTCTTACTTTCTGTTTTCCCCTGCAGATGAGGCACCCCCACTCCCTCCACCTCCTCCTCCATGCCTGATCTGAGCGGAAAGGTCAATAATGACCAGGAGATGATGTCAGAGTGGAGCTGGAACAAGGTCAAATGTAGGCAGTATCTTATATCAAGCCCAGGGCAAAGCTAAACTATAAACACTCTCTTGCCTGGAGACTTCTGCATCCTGTTAACACAGCATCCCATTGCTTTCTGAGCTCTCCCCTGGGTGGTCTTGCTGAAACCCATGGTTTGGAGAGTGTCAAAGAGCTCTTAAGTATAAACACAGCATTCCAGCCAGCAGAGGCAGTGCACACAAGAGAGAGGGGCCAGGAATTCCTGGCTCATATTCTTTTTCCCTTGCTTACTCAGGCAAGTCTTTTATCCATGGATGGGACAGTTTGTTTTTCATAACTTCAGTCATGAGAGCCCTAACTTCTGTAGTGTCTGAGAGTGATCTTGACTTCTCCTCTCCTTCACCTCCCATCCAATCAGCCACTGAGTCTTGTTGGCTTAATTTCTTAAAATTTCTTCAAATTCGTCCACTTCTCTCCATCCTTTCTGCCTCTTAGCCCGCAGCACTGCTTTCTGAAGGATTGGTGAAGCCTCTCCAACTGGCTTTTCTATGCCAATCTTGCTCTTGAAAACCCATTCTTGGCTTTGCAGCCTGAGTATCTAAATAAGCAAATGCAATTATGAAACCCACCAAACGCAGTTATGAAACACAGAAAAACTATTCGATGATCCTCACTTGTCCATACACACACACACACACACACACAGCCAATCTTACAAGGCCTTTGGTAACCTGGTGCCAAGTCTGCCCCAAACAACAACAACAATAAAAACAACTGCTGGGTATTAAGTAATGAGTATGTCCAGATAACAAAGTGAGCATTCTGCATGAGCAAAAATATGCTCTTGAACACGTCCTTCTCCTTTAAACCTCATCCCTTCAGTATATGCCATTTCTTCTGCAGAAAGCGCACTTCTCCCCTCTCCTCTTGGCAATCCTATCTCCTTTCATTCAAGATCCAGCTTGTGACATCCTCCTCTGAGTCATAGCTCCGCTGCGCATGGCTAATTACTCTCTCCTCTGAGTCCCCATGGAATCTTGTAATATCATAGCATTTATTGCACTGCATTGCAACTGTTTAACATGCTGTTTTCCTCATTTGGTTGAAGCTCTTCAGGAGGCAGAGGCTATTTTTCATTTATCCCTATGTCATGGCTTCCACTGTGCTTGGGGCTTACACAACTCAGTTTTCAATAAATGAATGAGAGAGAGGAGCACTATGTGATTGAAAGGCAGGAGTTCAAGTAGCAAAACATGGACCTGAGAGGGCAGGTTAGGAAGCTCTACTGGGATCTCAGGTTAACCCACAAGAAGAGAGCTTTCCTTCCCTCCTCATCTCCTAAATACACAGTGGGGAGCAGAAGCCAAGGGCCTCTGAGAATGGGGATGGTGCTGAAAATAAACTTCACTCCAAAAGGGCTGAGGGGTTTTGCCATCTTAAGACACACCTTTGCAGTTATGAGTTTATCTTCTCTCATCTCGTAGAGGCTGGGTCAGTATAAAGCAGGCTCAATATGGCAGGATGCGAAAACTGTTTTTATTACAATATTACAATGGGGTGAAAACCCAGGCATTTCCTTTACTCTAGGGGACGAGTTTAAGGCAAAGAGCCTTTATTTAATAAAAGGTTATTGTACCTCAACATTTTTCAGAATCTTTCACTCTTCTCTAATTGTCTTTCACTCCCCCACCTTTGTGTCTACTCCCATTCCAGTTTGCAGATGAACAGCCCTGACTGGTCCTTTCTAGTGACATACCGCATTGCAGTTCCAAACAAAAATTAGTATCTCCACAGATCACTGAATCCTAATTAAAGAGTTTTATTATCCTTCCCCTTCTTTTCTATTCACCACCCCCATCCCAGATTTTCACTCAGGGAATCTTAGCTGTATGCACTCAGCAAAGGCCTAGCCACGCTGAGCCGCAGTCTCCTTGTCTGCACAGGGTAGTAGTATTACCTAACTCAGGGCATCATTATGAGGATTACAAAAGGTAAGCAAAAACTTAATGCAGATAAATATTAAATAATAGTAGCAAGAAACTCCATCGATGGGGCAAGGATGCCTTAGATGCTTTTGAAATTTCAGTCATTTAGATTTGTCTTTCTAACAGATACAACCAGCTTCTCTGAGTTACTCCCCTCAGGAGCAACTATTTCCTTCTAGTCCCCTTCCTCAGTACCTTTACCTGGAGGCTTCTGTTGTTGGGCCTGTTTCTAAGCAGGCTTCCCTTTCCTCTTTATGCCACACTCGCGTCCTGGAAGAGGCACAGAGAAGTCCTGCAATTCTGGGTCTCTGTCCTTTCTGTGTATGTCCTAAATGCACAAATAAGCCCATAATATCTTCCACAACTGTCTTGGAAAAACAGATGGTAAGAATTCTGCAGTAAGTGAAATGGGAATATTTACCCCAGAGGGTCATCTGAATTTTTCTTTCAATTGAAGCAGGAAAATTCTCCACAAGCATCACCAAGGAAGCCCAGTCTCCCAAAGCAAAGACTGAGGAAAAAAACCAAACTCAATGTGATGAAGTTATCCATGGAGGACAGCTGTGCCTGTTCAAGGAAGGGGAGGCATCTGGGAGCAGTCCCTACCTCCTGTCTACACACTGCCTGATTGAGAGACTCAATGCTCCAGCACCTGAGGGGCTTAGGGAGAAACAGAGCCTGAGAAATCCAGGGAGATTTTGTGAAATTGTTTGGTTTTTGTTTGTCTGTTTTTTGAGACAGGGTCTTGCTCTGGTGCCCAGGCTGGAGTGCAGTAGCACAATCACAGCTCGCTGCAGCTTTGACCTTTGAAGTGTACTCCTCACTCCTGTGTGTTTGTGTGGCTGCAGGGACCTCACCCTGCCTGCTGTCCTATTCCGTCTCCCCACTCTTCTATGCCCCAGGACAAGGACAATGATGCTGCCTTTACTGTGACATCCCTCTGCTTCTCCCATTGCCAGTCGAGCTGTGCTCCTCCACGCCTGGCACTCAGACCTCTGCCAAAGATTTTCCTGTGATTATTATCAACAGTGCAGCTTCCCAGCTGCCCAGATTTCTTGACTAAATCACAATTTCTGAGTGTAGGCTCTGGGGCTCTCCACTTCTGGAAAGCACTGCTAGTGGTTCTTGTACAAGGTAAAGTATGAAAACATTTCCTACAAAAGAAGGGTCAGCATCCGTAGCCTGTTTAGGACCCTTCGTGAAAAATCTGTCTCCAATTCCTCATCTCCAAGTTGATTTCCCAACTCCTCCACGATCCGCACCTCCAGCCATGCCAGCATGCATACTCACCTCTCCCCAAACATGACACGCAGGTTCTACATCAAGATCCTGCTCATGCTGCTCCCCCTTCCTGGAATACTCTGTCTCCACTTGAGTCCTATTCTTCCCTCAAAGCTCACTTCAGTTAAGACTTTCTGCGCATGAATTACTGAGACAGGTGTTGAAAGGCTGTGTGTCTTCAGTCTACTGCAAAGGACAACGTGTGGTCTTGCCCTCGAGGAGCTTTAACGTTGAGTAAAGAGATAAGACATTGTACATCAGCAACCATAATAAGAGGTAGAATATAAAAGAAACAAAAGTGTTAGAGAAGGGGGGGGCGTGAGGCAACTGGGGGTGTTATCCGAATTGGCATTTTCTGCAAAGCCTGACAGTGTGCATAGGACTGCAGATGTGGAGAAGTGAAGGCCAGGCCAAGGGAAGAGTTTCAGCAATGGCACAGAAGTAGGAATGGGAAGAGAATATAGAGAAAATGAGAAGTAGCACAGTTTGGCTTAGCTCAGAGGGAGACTTCATGCAGAAATGTGAGAGACTCGGCCAAAATACAGACCAGGTGACCTTAGCTCTCCTCCTCCTCTGAACTCCTTTAGTTTCTATGATCTGAACCTAGACCACTTAGCATATACGGCCATGTATTTTTTTTAATTGCTCTACGTATGTTTTTGAAAGCAACATTTTTCTCTTTATAAAACATTTTTGTTGGAGAAAATTTGGAAAATACAGAAAGGAAGTAAAATTTGAGTTACCCATAAATCTACCATGTGGAAATAACCAGTTAGCATTTTGGTTAATCCTTAAATTCTTTTCCCCCATCCACTTTTTTTCACTATAAAACTGAAATTAAAACTTTAAAACTGTGCTTTTTTTTTTTTTTTTCTTGTGATCGAGTCTCACTCTGTTGCCCAGGCTGGAGTGCAGTGGCGCGATCTCAGCTCACTGCAACCTCCACCTCCTGGGTTCAAGTGATTCCCCTGCCTCAGCCTCCTGAGTAGCTGGGATTATAGGCATATGCCACCATGCCCTGCTAATTTTTGTATTTTTAGTAGAGAGGGATTTCACCATGTTGTCCAAGCTGGTCTCAAACTCCTGACTTCAGATGGTCCATCCACCTCGGCCTCCCAAAGTGCTAGGATTACAGGCATGAGCCACTGCACCCGGCCACCTGTGTATAACTTTCTATCCTATTTTTGTCACTTAGCAGAGTATGATGAACACAACCCCACATCTTTGAATATTTCTTGAAAAGTTGGTTGTTAATGGCTACATAATATTCCAACATACAAATATTCAAGTCTCTATGTAACTCAGTATTTTCCAACTGTAATTTTTTGGGATGCTAATAAAATACACATTAACAGGTTAAACCAAGTTAACATATTTCTCTTTATTCTGGATTCTATAAGTCTTCAAAGAGTCCCACGTGGATTTTGATTCTTCAAAATGACAGTATAGCAGGTAGTATTCACTCTGGACTGTTTTTTAAACAAGTATCTCTTAGAGCTCATTTTCCACAAAAGTTTGAGAAACCTTTCTCCCATTGAAGGATATTTGGATTGTTCCTAGTTTTTCACTATTATAAATATTTGATAAAGATTTTGTACATAAAATTCAGGCTGAAATTCTCATTATTTCTTTAAGATATATTTTTGGGAGTAGAATTGTGACATTTAAAAAGTCAAAATGTATGACTTTTTAAATTAAAAAAAAATTTTAAACATAATACTTCCCACCTCCCTCCCCACTTGGCCACTAGCCTCTCTAGCTCCATGATTACATTATATATTTTTGCATCTTCTTAGTGCAGAGTCTTGTGCCTTTTATTTAGAAAGCCCTTAGCAAATGTTTGATGATGGCGATAACAATAAAGAAAAAGAAATATAAGATAAAAGGGTAGGTTGTGAGGAGGAAAGAATTGCATCTTACAGTTGAAAGTGGCAGATAAAATAGTCCTTAAATGCAGGTTATTTTACGTCAGACAACTTGAGTTCATAGTACTGCACTTGCCTTCTTTTTGACCTTGGTCAAATTACAGTGCTAATAATTCCTAACTCAGAGGTTTGCAGAAAGCACTAAATGAGAAAAGATGTATAAAGCTTATAGCACATGCCTGGCACATACAAGCATTGAATAAACATGGCTGTTACTATTATTACTATTATTAGCTGATTTCTGGAGTCCAAGGGAAAGGCGACCATTTCTTTAAGATGTTTATAATGTATGAGAGTTATATAGGATCAGGGCAAATAGCAGCTGATTGGAGCAAAGCTTGCAGCAGAGGAGACATTCAGGAGAAATGGCTAGGGAATGGATAGGCTCTGCTAGAAATGTCCACCAAGGCAGCAAATGTGAGCCAATGGAGAAGGGTGGAAGTCAGCCAAGGCAACCAGAGACTATACTAAAGATAAAAATCAAATCTGTTTTGGCATGGTAAAGACTAACATTTTCATTCTGAACTCCTCTCCCATTGGAAAACTCCATTCTGATCCCATTTTCCATTCCAGAGATAATCAACCGTCTCCCCCTGGACACAATGTGGTGGCCATCAGCCTGGCTCTTACCTGTTCATTTCCTGTCACTGCCTAATTGACAGCAGGCCCCCCAAGCTGGCAGCTCCTGCAGAGATGCTGACAAGAGCAACTCTGAAGCTTGGCATCTCCCTGAGCCCTTTTATTTATTGCTCTGTTTCAAAGAGGGATTTATCTGTGTGTGGTTGAGGCCATTACTACCTTTTTCTAGATTTCCTGGGTGCACCCAACCCAGAACCAAAAACTTGGCCATTTGGCTGCATCTCTGACACCTGAAGAGAGCTGCAACTTAACCCTCTAAAGCGAACACTACACAGTGGAGGCTAATGGCTCCAGGTAGGTCCCAGTTCTCCTCCACAGCCCCCTTCTCTCCTCCCCATCTTTCCCATCACTTCCAGAGCTTCTGAGATTTAACAAGCGTTAAAATTCCTTACATCTATTTACAGGGAAGGCCAATTTACTGTGATTAAATGCAAGGTAGCGTTCAATTAGCAGAAGATAAACACAACATATCAACCCACTACGATAATTTTTAAATCAAAAGTTAGAACACACATAGGCTGCTGCAATAATAATTTACTAATTTAATGATGATGGAGCTTTTCAAGATCTTGCCATTCTCTTAGACTGTGTATGAAGGACACTCCTAATGTTAATTAGAGCTCACTTCATTAACAACTTAACCAAAAGACCACACTTTGTGAAATTATTTGGGAGCCTACTAGGAATGAGATGATGGAAGGAAATTACCATGAGTACGTTTCCCATCGGTTAATGGAGGGTATGATGTATAAATCATCAGCAAAGGCCACATGGTGACAGTCGGCAAAAGAAAGGAGAATTTGGAGCTTGTGTATGAGAGCAGGGCAGATGGCTGTGAATAATGTGTGAAAGCACATGCCTCTTCATATATATGGTGCTCATGGTAGTAAAGACATGATCTGCCATGCAAACTCCAGGGCAGTTTTGTTTGGCACACAGCTGTTGCTTACACCTCTGGGCTTTGCCCGATAGAGTCAGAGCCACCTTCAGCACAGTGTTAAAGCTTTAACAGAGAGTAAGTGCTTGGGAACTTACGAAGAATTCATGGGCCTGCACTCCAATTGGAGGATGCCTCTTAGATTCAGCATAGTTCTTTCTGTCCCCAGCAGCCAGCTGTTTTGAAGATACATGCACTGGTCCACAACTATCCAAAATGACTTTGGGATTCTAGAAGTCAGGGGTCCCCGAGAGCCTAGGACAGCAGTTTGCTAAGGTTGCTGTTGATTGGAATCAATTGGGGATCTTTTAAAAATACAAATTGCTGGCTCTCATCCCCAGAGATTTCATCTGTGTGGGGTATGATCTGAGTATTAGGATTTTTAAAGTTTCCTCTATCCAGGTGATTCTAATGTGCAGCAAAATTGGAAAATCACTACTCTACTACCCACGTCTGGGGCTTAAGGTAAACAAAAATCTCTGAGCCCCGTGGCAGATGCTGGAATCTGAGCAGAGCCTGTTCCTGGCAAAGCTGTTGATCACTGAGAGGAAGGGTAGAGGGAGCAAGGTGCTTAGCATTAACAGGCCTGGTTTCGAATCTCAGCACTCCCGCTTACTTTGAGTAAGCAAAAGAAAACTCCTCTCTGAGTTTTCCACTCTGTTAAATTGAGGAAATGATGCTTCCCTCAGAAGTTGTGAGAGCATTAAATAAAATAATATGTAAAGAGCTTAGCCTGTAATACGATAAGTGGAAAAATGGTTTATCTAACCAATGATTATTAACTAGTTAAAGAGGAAAATAAATCATAAGCCTATTAGTATCTAGTACTTGTTCAAAGTTGCTAAAGGAACTGTGAGCATTTTGTGCAAGTGCCTTAATAAACCCAGAAAGCCGCTGGTAATAACAGTGCTTTATTGCATGTCTACTATTAGCCAGGTACTGTTCTAGGCACTTTATAAACATTTTTAGGTTGCTAGCTAGTACATATGTCAGTAAGGATTTTCTGACAAGGGATGGAATAGAGAGTAGCCAGCTGTTCATAAGAAATTCCATGAATCCAAAGCACATGCTCCTCTGGCCTATGGCTGCAGGCCATGGGTGTTGAGAGGATACCTGCTTATTTTAGAAGTGGGTAAGATACACTCTGATGGAGAAAAGACTGGACTTAGCAAAGACCCGGTTACAAGTCTCAGGTCTTCCACTCCCAAGCTGACCGACTGTGGGTATGTTTCTTAACCATTCTGAATCTGTTTCCTCATTACATAAGCTATGGATAAAGACAGTTGCCTCACTGAGTGTAAAGCATGAAATGAGATAATGTATATAAGAGTGCAGATCATGGTGCCAGGTACATGGCAGGAACCCAATAAACAGTTTGCTGAATTATACATTCTAAATAGCAGGAGAAGGGCACATGGTTCGGGAGGTTTCCAGGTGACAGCCTGGGAGCCAGAGCTCCTGGATCCTAAGACAGCATGGGAACTCCCATGAAATGCATTCTCCTATTTCCCAGCAATCGCCGAGTCTAATGAGCTCTTGAAATTGTCCTCTTCCTGCTCCCAGACATATTCATATACCTGTGGGCACTTTATTTCAAGCAAACCCCTCAGCTGGAGCCACGAAAACCAAAAGGGCCTGCCAGCAGCCTGTGCCACCCCACAGGCATAAGGGCTCAGAGCCTCAATTAGAGTGTGGCTGAGAAAAGCAGGGCCCAAACCCCCTCTCGGCACCAATCCTTTCTACAGAAACAACCAACCCCCCTAACTATGAAAATCAATGGAATTTTCTCCCCTCCAATATCTAAATAGCTATTTGAATGTGTTCTGTAACAGGAGGAGCTGTTGAACAAAAGGTCAGGGCTGATTTGAAGTTGGTCTTTTTATCAGCAATTGCTTTTAAAGACACAATTCTCCCAACTCTGAGCCCCTGAAGATAAAAAATTATATAAATGTACAAATGACTTTATGACTTTGATTATACAACTTCTAAGGAAATATCCATATGAACCGTTAAGAAAGACTAAAGATATGGTGATAAAGAGGACTCTTTGAAATTCTGCTTTTAAAAAAAATCTATGTCATGAGATATGAATGTAGCCAAAGCCTTGATAAAAGTCGTGTCATCCTTTTGCCATAGAATCCGCTGAGGCATGAAAGGGACCATGGGCCTGGAGATCTTTGCTGCCTTTAAAGTCTGGCTTATTAACATGCTTTAGAGTCTTCCTGAAGATGGGTCTGGCCAAAGGTTATCAACAGAAACTTAATTTAATGAGCCCAGAACACGAGGAGAGGAGCCCTGCAAAGCCAACACTGAGAGAAATTTGGGGCAAGGGCATTTCATTTTCTGAAGAGGAGAAACAAAGATAAACTCATTAAAGCAGAAGGCACTACATTGTTGGTTTTTATCCTCAGAACACCGCTCTCCCAGTATGGGGGCCCTGCTCAGTTTCACTACAGAGACTAATATTCCACTCCACCCAGAATAGAACCTGACGATAATAAAGGCTTTAGAGGGTAGAGAACAGCTACAGGGAAGGCTGGTTTACAGACCAACAGCAGCGCTGAGATGTCACAGTTGACGCAGGCTGGAGTCCACCAGGCTTCTCAGGGCAGAGGAGGTACTTTTTGACATTTGGTTCACAGTAGATCTAGGTCAGTTACTCCCATCATGGTTGGGTGGAGGCAAATAAAAATTCTGGAATCCTGAGGACAGAGATAGCTGCTTAAAGAAATGTTGCAAATGCTCTCCAGTCATAAGAATAAATTGTTCCAAGGCCAAAATGGTGGGAACATCCTTTTGAGGTAAATGACACAGGGGTCACATATTGACATGCCTACAGGAGACAGGCGAATAACACAAATTAGTGAAACAGGGTAGGACTGAGATAATAGGGCATGTTGGGACAAGGTTGTGGCCTTTTCTTAAGGAACAGCAGATCCTAAGCTTGAATGAACGGTTGCCTCACTGGAAGGGTGATATGTTGCCAGAACTGATTGATCAAGCGAAGCTGGAAGTTGGAATTTTAATATAAAATCTCCTTATTTTAAAGGAATGGAAACTAGGGTTTTTGTTCTGTTTTGTTTTTAACATTTTGTGGACCAAGCAGAACTTTTGTGTGGGGGTAGATATAGCCTGTGAATTTGGGGCATCTGACTAGAACATTAGATATAATTAGCATGTGGTAGTACTAGAAGTCAGAGAGGAAAGTACCATTTAGAAGGCTAAATGAGTTATAGCATGTGCATTTATTTCTGAAAGGAAAGTATTCTCCAAGTAGGGTTCTCATGAATGACCATGTGTGCTGCGCATTGCACACCTCTGGGGGGCACCCTTTGTAACAAAAGGCTATATTAATATCCCCTTTTGGAGTTGCAGTATATGAACCTGAACAACCATACCCAGCAGCCCTGTTGGTGGCACATACCTAGTTTTCCATCTCAGTGGGTTCCTGAGTGGCAGAGAACAAACCCACTCAAATTCCAAATCATTGATTCAGATGGACCAGCACACTCATTCTTGGCTCTCAAATGGACTTTCATCAGAATCAATTATAAAGGTCTTCTTGGCATTATAAACAACACCCAGGAACGATTAAATTTTTGTTCTTCCCTTGCGGGCCACAAATCAGGATGACTCCCAAAGTTTAATCAGCATGGACCCAGTGGACTGGACTTTGGAAGTGACTCAGCCTTTGTAGATTCAGGTATATGAATAATTTTTTAAAAAAGGAAATGGAAATATATACATTCTATTAATTCTAGTCACTTTGTGGTAGGTTTATGAACATTGCCATGTAGGATTGACCATAGGGCTATATATTCTGTACTAGACTAATATAATAATGAAATGCTATTTATGCCAGCACTGGCTATGGAGTTATATCTCAAATGTCCCAGGGGCTTCAAAGGCAATGACGACACTGGCTGCTCTCTGGAGCAATAAGTCACCTGGACAACTTACCTCATGGCAAAGAAATGAAAGGAAACACCAGAAATGGGCAGAAGAAAGCTTTCTTAACACTTTGAATCAAAAGATAATTATTTTCCCTGGAAGCTCAAAAATGACAGAAATATGTGGCTGCAGTTAAGTATCCTCAATGAAGAAAAATATAGGAATACGTTAGTGAATGTGATCAGCTGTATTTCAATGGCTCAGAAAATATGTAAGCAGTAATTCCCATAAATAAGCCAGATAGATAAAGACAAAAGGGGATAGAAACACATTCATAACACAGAATAAAAAATGTATCATAAACATTTGTTGACTAAAACAATATTTCAATTTGTATAATCCCCCAAAGACAGTGTTTCATTTCTGATGACAAACAGTGGCATTACCTAAAGGAGGGGGTGAAAAAGAAGGTTGGTTCTTTCGGGCTGACCCTGCTGAGCTGGTCTTGGTAGCAGTGGTAGAACATGACAGCTCTCTGGTCCACTGGGTTACTAATGTGGAACTTACTATTCATTCACACACATAGGCTGTGCTAAAATGGGCTAATCTGTGGTTAGTTTCTAGAACACGAGAAAAAAAATCTACGTGACACCCATCTTCTTGGTTAAGACTGGGTCAGCCTACCAAAAAAAAAAAAAAAATGAGTGTTTAAAGTAAGAATGGCTATTGCAGACTTGTTCAATGCTTTACATGGGGGAAAAAAATGAACCGCCACAAACAAAGAAGCATTAGATCAGAAGAGTTCAAGAGCCTAATAAACATCTTCATGAAAAGTTAAAATGGCTGCCTCATTTGTCTGCAGCATGAGGCAGGCAGCACTGAGGGTGCTTCTAACTTCCTTTCCAAATCAGAGGCAATTTACTGGCTTCAAAATAAAGGAGGGAAAAGAGAAGAGGCTTGTCTGGTCAATGATTTATTCATGGAGCCAAGAAAATGTTTCTCTTCTAAAATGATATTTTTCCTGGGTTCTAGCCTTTCAATCTTCCTCCAGTCTGGGAATATATGTTTCTCTCCTCCATGTATTTTTCAGTGGTTTCCATTATTACGTGACACACTGTTCACCTCGATCTACAGCACTGAGACCTCCGTGGGGTTGCCCTTGCTTAGAGAATTTTGCAGTGCCAAAACTCAGAACTGATGCTTTGTCTTGCCTGAGGAGCTGAGCAGTTTCTCTTCTAGAGTGGGGCCTTCCTCCCTACCCCAAGAAGAGATGCAACAAGGAGAGGTAGTGGCATCTGCAGTTGGTAATGCCCACAGTTTGTACACAAATGACTTTCTAAAAGCAAACAGATGAGTGGATGGGCTAGTGGCCCAAGAAATAGCCTGTTTGGGGGCAGAGATAAAAGTCTTAGATTGTGTCTCTGGCTAATCTGGCTCCAAATTAACTCAGACTTTAGAATTATTATCCACAAGCATGTGCAGATTTGCGAAATCAGGATATATAAGAAACTCCAAGCTGGGATCTCTGGGTATGGTTTAACTCAAGTGTCGGAGAACTCTGTATGAACTAGATACTGATCCCTTAATCAAAAAAATAAATAAATAAACAGTAAGGTGTGAATGAGTTTTCAGCGTTGTACAAATAACATAATGAGATATTATCTAGCCCGAACTGGAGTGAAACACCAGTTTGGAATTGAAAAATGTATCTATCCACTCACTTCTCTGGTGATTCTGAAGGAGAAACAGATTTAATGGAGTAGTGTTTATCTGCAGAATCATTACTTTAGGCAGATGCTCCATTGTCTCTCATTTCCTACCCACAGATCAGCTTGGAAAACTGGTCTTATACCAGAATTCAACTCAGATATCATCTCCCTGAAGAAATCTTTTCTCTCGGTATCCTGTACTTCACTTGTGCAGTTGCATTTGTCACCCTGCTTTGTAACTCTGTGGCATGGCTGCTTCTCCTTAATAGGAGTCCTTGAAGGCAGGTCCAAGGTTTACTCAGCTCTGTATCACGAGCACCTAGCACAGTCCTGATACATAGCACGTAAGCAAGAAATATTTGCTAATTCTGTTTGTTAAGTGGGATTTCATTCTGATTTCCATTTTCCCTCCCTGGTCCACCATCACAATCCGGGCATCACCTTAACCTTGGAGATCATTGCTTCTAGTCCTCTGCCTCCTCTTTTTTCAGGCACTTTTCTCTATTCCTTTTCATCTGTCACTTTATCTTCCTGTCCCTCTTTCCCGCTTTTCCAGCCTTGTCCTTGGGTCTGCCAGTGGCTCCCATTGGTATTTCCTAACAAAAAGTACCTTTCATGAAGATAGGCTATTTTCAGTTATTTGCCGTCCCTTGGAATCACCAGAAAGAAGGGCATAGAGCAGTGAAACTTCTCAACGGGATAGGATGAAGGAGAAGAGGAGTGCTGTTTGTCCTCCCTGGTAGGATAGGGACCTGCATAGGGAATGGGAGACCTTATGGTAACAATCAGCTTTGAGCTTCACCAAACAATACTCCAGCATCCCTAAAGATATTCATGCCCACAAGTTGGGACTCTTTCATCTAGCACAACAGGTAGATATAGGGAGCCAGCCCTACTTTGGTGGATTTCGTTTTTTCCTTACTCGATAGGGCCCAACCAAAAAACATACATTTTTTTAATTCTTAGAAAAGGATACTCTCACTAAGTCCAGAAGTCGCGAAATGAATAGAATCATCCAATGGCAGACTCCATTAGTAACATCTCAATGCTCTCTAAACATAGTCCTCCTAGAGATGCCAGATTCAGCAATTCTGAGATGTGCTCAGGGAGCCTGTGATATTAATCAAATTCATGAGGAAGACTGAGTCCAGAATGGTCAAGGCCGTTGCATCCTAACATGCTCTTCCCCCATTACAGGGAGAAAGCAAGCCCCAGTGTAACATGACATCATCAATCTAAGTAGGCAAGCGGAATAGATTTCCCGATTACCAGGTTAAGCGATGCATCAAGCAGGAGCAAGCCTGGTCATTGCTAATCATTTAAATTTAAGAAGACTGAGCTCAGTGACATTATCAGGCCCACATTAAAGAGCGACTTCTCTCTGCTATCAGGAATGTACTGGTGTTCCCTCCAGGATTTATTACTCTGGGAAGCGGCAGGATGGGCTGATGCTGCAACTATCTATGGCACTAGCTCCCCATCCATCATCCCCACCACCCCTGTTCTGGTCAGCCTAAGAGCCTGAGGCCTCTGATCTCTCCTCTTTGCTGGGGTCTTCAGTGGCCAAGTCCACAAGCAGACTGAGAAGCAAGTGTCTAGAAATGAGTTGAGTTAAAACATTCTTTTTCACATCATCATTAAATCCCCAACTGGCTTGTTTTCTCTCTGGTTTTCATCTTGGGAAAATACAATGTTTTATCATACTCTGGACTGTATCTGAACCCGAAGATAGTTTTTGCCTAGGATATACATGATCCAAACTCACCCCCAGAGAGTCTATTTCACTTGTTTTACAGTGGGAATCAGGCATATAAATTTAGAATAAAATCCTCAAGTGATCCTGAATCATACATATCATTAATAATCATTGATTTGCAAGGTTTCCCTCTGAGGAAAACTAGGAAGTAGAGCAGATCTGTGAGGACTACCCACCAAGATTACTAATTAATAAATTGCAAACTAGATCTGAAAACCAGGGTAAAGACATGGGGCATGATCAAGGCCTTGAGCATTATCATCTATAACACTGGTGCTTCGCGAACTTTAGTGCCATGTGAATCACCTGCGCAGATGTTAGTCTGCAGATTATGACTCAGTAGGTCCCAGGTAGAGCCTGAGGTTCTGCATCTCTTACAGGCTCCCAAGTGAGGGCAGTGCTGCTAGTCCATGGACCACGCTTGGGAGTAGCAAGTATCTAGAAGAATGGTTCTCAAAATTGACCTCACATTAGAATCACCTAGCAAGCGAATTTTGAAAACCCCAATGCCAGGCTCCCCCCGGACCTATCAAATTAGAGTCTCTAGGGATGGGCGGGGAGGGGGTCTCAGCCATGGTATTTAAAAAATCTCCTTAGTTGGTGCCATTGTAAGGCCAAGGTTGAGAATCAGGATCTATACTGATGAACAGCTCTGCCCCCTGTGACCAAATTCAGTAATTACATTATCTTCTCTGTCAAGCATTCTAGTGGACATTTACTGTAGAGATCCACCTTCTACCCAAACACGCAGGCCTAGTGCTCCCAGGGAAGCTGACCCCACTCCTGGCTCCAAGTATGAATCTGAGCAGTCCAAAGATTACTTGACCCCCCAACAAACAGGCCCTTTCCACTGGTCATTGAGGAATAGGCATGTGATCTAATATGGGCCAAGTGATGCCAGCAGAGTCCCTGAAACCAGTCTTCCCTGTAGATATATGTTAGCCAATAAAGTTCTTATTGCTTAAGTCAATTTGACTTGGATGAGGATATTTTAACCCATATTCTCACTTGGCTTATGTAGAATGAGGCATTGGATAATATGGTAAATCCCTCCTCATGGGATTAGATCTATAAAATTTTACCAAAATCTATCCCACCTCCCTTAACTTTCTCTCACCTTTATTTCTTCTGCCACCCTCCTCTCTGTGGACAAGGCAGAGTAGAAGGTAAAGGAAATAGCTTTAGGGCTATAATCCTGTTTCTACCCTCTCATAAGAAGAGTGACCTTGGAAAAGTCCCCGGCTTTATCTGAGTCATACTTTGCTGATATTAATCGGAATAAAAGTAATATCTGTGCCCCAAGGCATTTGTGAACATCGAATGAGAAAATGGATGGGCAAGCATCCTGTAAATGTCAGCTGTGGTTTTTTGTGGTTGTTGCTGCTGTTAGAAAAAACGAGCAGTGATCTCAAAGGTGGAAGTTTCCCCATAGTGATAGCAATTGTGTGTCCACTCGCTGTCCCATGGGAGAATCTGAGCAAGGCTGAGAATACTGCTGGGGCTGGCATAGCTCCCATCAGTGAAGATGTCCCTGTGCTATCAAGAGCAATCAGGGTGGAGGGAAAGACATAAATCCTACTGTTTCTTGTAGGCAGAGTGGGGAATTGGGGCAGGGGGAGGGAAAAGGAGGTTGCACTCTAAATGATTTTTAATTATTTTCTGACTCACTACATCATTAGGAAGACAGGAAAACTCTTAAGACTTAAGACACAGTGATCTAATGTCATTGACTTTCACATATATTTTATGAGTTATGAAATATGATGAAGCTGGGAGAGAAAAGCTTTTCAAATATGATAAGACTAGAGAATATCCAACCCACTTATAAAAAGGATCAAATTGTGGACTCAGGGTTTGCAAAAGCCAAGTTTCAAGATACCCACAGGTGGGTTTGGCCTTAAAGCTTCCTACCCCAAACCTACTATGAGGGTGTTCTAATCCCCCTGCTATCACCACTACCAGTAGCCCTCACTCTCAATTATAAATGTAAAAATGATTTAATCTGCCTACTAAAATGTAAGCTTCTCTATATTATCTCCATCATATACTCAGTTTCTAGCATAGGGTACAGCACATAGTAGGTACTCAATATATTTCAAATGAATGAAATCCAAGTGCCTAGCACTGTATGGGTCCTTCAGGGAAAAAGGAGAATGAGACTTGTACTACCTTCATTGAAGTTATAATTGTTTGGAAACCTAGATGAAAAAATAATTTAACAACAAACAAATAGACAATGGCACAAAATCATCCAATCAAGTATCAAAGAGCCACAACAAGCCATGAGGTATTAGCAGTAACTGAACAAGGGGAAAGTGAGTGTTGGCTAATGCTACATAGGATGATATTCCAAGTGGACTAGAGTGTTTGTTAATACTCCAGAGCCTAGGATGTTGCCTTGAGCAATTACAAAGTCTTTAAACATTCAATCAAGTGGCTTTGTTTTCAATCAATAAGCTTTTCATTTTTTCCAAAGGTTAAAGTAAGCGAATTTCAATCAACCCATCTAATGTATGAGTTATTAGTAATGGCATGCAAGAGTGTATGCTGTGTTCCAGCTTTGGACTTAGAATAAACTAGGCATAGATGTAAAGTACTGGAATAAGAGGGGTCAAATATCCTCATGAGATGCATATGGTGGAAGGAATAGCAACACTGTCTATTAGAATTGGTGTTGGAAGTCTCCCTCTCTAGAGTCGGTTCAGACATAGGCTTGATGCAAGCACAAAGAGGGGATGCTAGAAAGAAAGAACAACTTCAGGCATCACAGGTTTCATGTCATTTACATTCTTTGGCTATTCTTGTCCTTCCCAACCATACCATTATCAAAGACCTAGGAATCTTTTAATACCATTAATGTCTTAATAAAAAAATCTTTCAAATAATAATAATGCCAAAACAAAACTGTCATTTATTTGAGCACCTTTTATTCCCCAAAATCAATGAGTGATTTATTTTTATTTCTTATATTCTGACGACAACTCTAACAGACAGGCATTCTGCTCTTATTTTACTGATAGAGAATCTAAGGAATACAAAGCTTAAGTAACTTTCCCAGTGTCACTTAGCAAGTAGTAAAACCAGAATTGGAACCAGCTCTGTTTGACCCCAGAGACAATGCTGTTAACCAGGATACTACACCATTTCCCCCTGCTACTATGTTATTAAATCAGAATTTTTGTAAAAAACAGAGGACAAGGCACTGCTGTTTTAAGACCTACCTAGAAACAGAATGCAGTCAGGAGGTAGGAGAGGACTGGGGGATATAACTTATTTCCTCTTCTTTTTCATGGCCAAGGGACTCTCTCCTGTGATCTGGGAGCCTGTGATCCGGGAGCCTGTGATCCACATGGCAATCCTAGGTGAACTGGATGTCAAAAGTTCACTAGAGACTCGATGAACAGTGAATTAAACTTTAAGCCCTGGAGTCCTTGATATAGAAATGGAAGGGCCAAAAAGAAAAAAAAAAAAAAAAAAAGAAAGGACTCTCACTTTCTCACTTAAGAAGATGATTCAACAAGGCCAAAAGAATGATTGGCCACCTCAAAGGAAAGAAAAAGGATTCAGAGAGTTCCATAAGTCTATGCTGTGGGGATAACTAGAGAATCATGAGTCCTTTCCTAGTTCCAGGGATTTCACAAAGCATCCTCAACTGTGGTTGGAGAGACAGAATGTGTGCATGACCTCCAGGTAATAAAGGTTAGAACTCAATAAAGTGTTGTGAAAATACGAATGATCAGTTGAAAAGACTATTTTAGGAAAATGAATCTATTAGTGGAGAGCAGGATAAACTAAGGAAGGAGGAGGCTGGAGTCAATGCCTCAGGGACTCAGCAAACTTTCGCTAAAGTAACAGTTCATTAAAAGGTTATTATAATGCAATAAATGTTGATTATTTGGAGTGATCATAGAAATTTTTGAAGTAGATAGGAGAGTGGTATGAAAAGAAGGCTTACTATGATGTGTATAGCCTACATTGCTTACAGAAGACTGGTTATGGCTAATAAAAAATGGAAAAATAAAGACACATATCCAGTTAGAAGAAAAATTAACAATAATAGCCACCAATTATTGAAAAATCACTATGTGCCAATCACAGCGTCAATCACTCTATAAACCCCATCTGCTTTAGCACAAAAATTCTGTGCCCTAGGCAATATTTTTAATTCCCTTTTCAATCAAGGAAACTAAGCTTAGGTTAAATTGTTTGCCAAAATCACATAGGTCATATGTTATGGTGCCAGAATAACAAACTCAGTTTTAAACATGTTGAGATGGAACATCTCAAAAGAAACATGGAAGACAATTTGGAAAATGAGGTAAAAAGAAACTCAACTGGAGGTGTCACCACAGTGACCTTGGAGCCTGGAAGCCACACAGCTAACAAAGATCTGACCAAGTATTGCTCCCTAACAGGACACCAAAGTGAGGTTACCAGAGTAAGGAGGAAAAATAGGGAGAATTTTTCATGGACCTAAACCAAAAAAAGTTATTTATCTAAGAAGGTAAGTGTCAAAAATGATGGAGCAGAAGGCCATGTGAAAGGATTTTGTGAATTCCCACAAATTAAAGAGTAGTTGGCCTTTAGGATGACTATTATGTAATACACACACACACACACACACACACACAGAGAAGACAACAAGTGTTGGAGAGAGTGTAGAAAAATTGAAACCCTGGTATAGCCACTGTGACAAACAGTATGGCAGTTCTCCAAAACATTAAACAGAATTACCATATGATACAGCAATCCCAGTTCTGGATATATACCCAAAACAATTGAAAGCAGGGACTGTAAGAGATACTTACATACCATCACTCATAGCAGCATTATTCCCAAAAGCCAAAATGTAGAAACAACCCAAATGTCCATCAACAGATGAGTGGATAAACAAAATGTAGTAGATACATACAATGGAGTATTATTCAACATTGAAAAAGAATGAAATTCTGACACATGCTACAACACGGATGAACCTTAAAGAAATTATGTTAAATAAGCCAGACATAAAAGAACAAATATTCAAGAAACAACAGATGCTGGCAAGGTTGTGGAGAAATAGGAACACTTCTACACTATTGGTGGGAATGTAAATTATTTCAACCATTGTGGGAGACAGTGTGGCACTTGACCATTTGACCCAGCAATCTTATTGCTGGGGATATACCAAAGTAATATAAATCATTCTATTATAAAGATACATGCACACATATGTTCACTGCAGCACTATTCACAATAGAAAAGACATGGAATCAACCCAAATGCCCATCAATGATAGACTGGATAAAGAAAATGTGGTACATATACAATATGGAATACTATGCAGCCATAAAAAGGAACAAGATCATGTCCTTTGCAGGGACATGGATGGAGCTGGAAGCCATTATCCTCAGCAAACTAACACAGGAACAGAAAACCAAACACCACATGTTCTCACTTATAAGTGGGAGTTGAAAGATGAGAAAGCATGGACACAGGGAGGGGAACAACCAACAAACACTGGGACCTTTTGGGAGTAGGGGTGCGGGAGGAGGGAGAGCATCAGGAAAAATCGCTAATGCATGCTGGGCTTAATACCTAGGTGATGGGTTGATAAGTGCAGCAAACAACTATGGAACACCTTTCTATGTAACAAACCTACACATCCTGCACACGTACCCTGGAACTTAACATTTAAAAAAGGACAAATATTGCATGAGTACACTTATATGAGGTACCTAGAGTAATCACATCCATTGAGACAGAAAATAGTATGGTGGCTGCCAGGACCTAGAGTAAAGGGGCAATTGGGACATTATCATTTACTGAGTACAGCATTTCAATTTGGGATGATGAAAAAGTCCTGGAGTGGTAATGATTGCACAATAATGTAAATGTACTTAGGACCAATGAACTGTATGCTTAAAAATGGTTAAAATGATAAACTTTACGTTATGTATATTTTAACACAACTAAAAAGAAAGAGTAGTTGGCCAAGCATAAAATTAGAAGTTGAATACAGGTTCTCTGAGTGTTGTGAGCAAGTGGGAGAGACCCACCTTTTTTCACTCAAAGGATAATCCAACTAATCATTTAAAAAAGACCAGCATTAGGAAAACAAGCTACAGGTATGTGGTTGCAGATTTTTATGCAATGACCCACTTTATTAAAACAGAGGCTGGGACTAACAAAATGATTTTAAGAATTTAGTAGCAGATTCATTAATTTATCCCCCCAAGAAATGTCACCTTCCATATGGCACATAACCAGCTCTGGTCCCAGCATGACCTCAGAGTAAAGGGCACTGTATAATTGGGATTAAGAAATTGAATAGCAAGACTAAATACACGGACAACTTTCTTCACAGTGGGAGTCCTTTGACTCTGGCACTGGGTACCTCAGGGAGCATGCAATATTGTTTTCTGGAGGTACTCAGGCACAGAGTAGCATCAAATCTTCTAGGTTAAAATAAAAACAAGAAATGGACACCATGACTCCACAGCCTCCTTCCTGCCTGGTGAGCTTGTGACTCATCCAGCTAGTTGTTTTCTGCTAAGTGTCTCATACAGACTTGAATATTCCTCAAGACTTCTCAGCTTGATCAAACAGACAACACAACTCCAAGGCTACGCAAACACTTAGATGGGGGCTGAGGGAGAGGAGTTGACATTTAGTGGAGATAATTCTCACAAACATTTTTCATCTCAGAGATGTTACAACTCTTGACGGCTTCAATCTTTTATTTTAGAGATTTCTATTGATTGGATAAGAATCACACATATTTTGTCCACAGCACAGAGATAGCAAAGCAAACTTTTCCCCTAGTGCCATTTCCCCAGGGATGGGAATGATTGATTTTTATTGGTTCAGCTTCTAGGATACTCACATCTCAATTCAGCCAATTTTCTTTGGAGAGAGCACACTCCAGTACACTTAATGTATTTTCTTTCTTTTCTTTTCTTTTTTTCTTTTTTTTTTTTTTTTGACAGAATTTCGCTCTTGTTGCCCAGGCTGGAGTGCAATAGCGTGATCTCGGCTCACTGCAACCTCCGCCTGCCGGGTTCAAGTGATTGTCCTGCCTTAGCCTCCCGAGTAGCTGGGATTACAGGCACCCACCACCACACCCAGCTAACTTTTGTATTTTTAGTAGAGATGGGGTTTCACCATGTTGGCCAGGCTGGTCTCGAACTCCTGACCTCAGATGATCCACCCACCTCAGCCTCCCAAAGTGCTGGGATTACAGGCATGAGCCACCACACCCGGCCATATAGTTAATTGCATTTTCTAACCAAAGAGTTGAGAGAGATTTGTCATCTTTACAGTCCAGAGAAGATGAACCTCCAGCCTCCTCTTCCAATTGTGTAAGCTTGTATCTGAAGTTGGTAATCAAAGGAAGGGAGCCAGGGCTTAGGGGGAAAAATTAAGTAAAAGCATAAAGCAGAAAATACATAGACTACAATACAGGCAAAAAATAAAAAACAAAACACTAATCAGTGCATAAAGAAATTGAAAGGTCTGAGGAGAAGCAATTTGCTCCAACAGTTACTTTAAGTGAGTCTTTCATTTGGATCTGAACAAGGAAGTCTCATATACTTGCTACAAAAGTCATCCTCACAATTCTCTGATTATATTTTCCTTCTGTTTGCTGTGTCTCAGTTCACTCTGCTCCTGTGAACTTCTCATCATCCCACCCCTGCTTATTTTACTCTCACACCAAATTCCCTATGCCTTATCTGCCCCTATAATAGCCTGTTCTGAAGTGTGGACAGTTTCTAGAGAAAATTAGGAATTCTGTTTTATTTGGGTACTCTGGAGAAATTAATGCCCATGGTAAAAGGAAGCCCTCCTCCACTCTTTTGGCAAACAGAAAAGGTGCCCAACGTTGTCTCTTCTGCACATCACTACTTTCCAGCTCCCCAATCTTGCGCTTGTTCATGTTAAATATACACCAGCCCTGAAAATTTATTTACACTGAACCTCTCCAAACCTATATATCCTATACTATTTTACATATTTCTATTTGGTGCATGGATTTATTTTTATCCTCACGACTAGACTGTAATATTCCCAATTAGACTGAAATATTCCTGCAGATCCAGTAATACTATTTATTTTGCATCTTTCATAGTGCCTAGCAAACACAGTGTTGGGTAAGACTTTGGAAATGTAAGATAGTACTATACAGTGGCAATATGACTTTTTTTTTTTAAAAAAAGGCAAGCAGAAATTATACAACCAAAGTAGTACTAAAACTTAAAAGATATCATTGTAGAGCTGCATCATTTTTTCCAGCAATGCTGCTGATTTACTTTTTTGTAACTTTTGCAGCCAGTTTGCAAGGCCCAAAAGAGAAGTTGGTAGTCTTAGTTGGTAGTAAATCTTAATTTTTGATACATTGTTGTGACTTTATTCTTTACTGGTATTTTTATATTACCTAACTTGTCTGCTACTTTACTTACCCCATTAGGTCAAATTATTATTCTGGGGACTTAAAAAATTACTACTGGTGATTCCCTTAAAGCAAAAAATATATATATATACACACTCAAGTAAAAACAATGTAACACTGGGACTACAAGCCATCCTCAAATAGGAACATAAAATATTTTCAGCACGGATAATATCTTAGAGTCTGTGTATGGCTACTTAAGGTGGCTTCTTTGCAGAAGATATTGGGAAACAGCTCTCCGTGAATATGTTCACCTTTCTGCATGGTCTGGGCTTTCTTGCAAACCCAGGTTAAAGAGAGGATTCAATGGTAAACAGTGGTAAACATTCAATTAGAGACAGTGCATACCTCCAGAGATATTTAAAAGATTCATTTCCTCCAGAGCTATTTTGCTATTTTCTTATATTCTAAGAGTGGTGAGTAGAGTTCCTTCTCTCCACCCCAGAGAGGATCTCTCTCTCTTTCTCTTTCTTTCTCTCTCTCTCTGGAATTAGATCAGTGCAGATGTGCCAGACATACTGTAGAAGTTTCAAGCCTCATGAATTTGGGGCTCCTCCTCTGTGGTGTGACCCCACTGCTTGCACAGATAGTATCAGGCCCTTGGCACACCAGTCTGTGCTTGACTGGGGCACAGGGAACCAGCACTAAGATGTTCTAGGAGTAAATGGTCTGTTCTCTAATGCAGAGGTCTGGTGTTTCTGTTAGTGTGTGTGTGTGTGTGTGTACACACACTCGTACCTACACAGGAAGGTTAGCTTGCAAGTCAAGTAACATCTCAGCCCCATTATAATTTTGGACTTAACAGAAGATAATCATTATAACACTCTTTACATTAATCAAACAAACTACACAAATAAGTGCTTGATGATGGCATAATTAGTGGAGAGTCTTCTTTGAAGGATGTAAAAAACTCTGCCCTTAGCCCTATAGTCTTGCCTTCAAGTGGTTGCCTAATACACACAAGACAGGGTCATTGTCTTTGGGAGCCACAACAATAATTCAACACATTCCCAGTCCTTAAGGAGCTTATAATCTACAGAAAATGCTAAGGTATTTACCTAAATACCTTTACAACAAAATAGAAACTGCTTTTGTGAGAGAAACATGTTTGGGATGAGGAGCGAGAAAAGGAAGAAGTTGTTGTTATTTCTAGCTGTATATGTTGTAAATAGGGAGAAGCTAACTGAAGAGTTCTTGTGAAGGAAAATGTTCAACATTTGTGTTTATCATTTAGGTAAAACCACAGAATCCATGCTTCTTGAATTTGTGGATCACACAAAGCAGAAAGTGATGGCCAGTAAACTGGTTGGCAAAATCAAGATTGTCTACAAACTGGAATGTCAAGAAAAGCTAACAAATGAAACTTTACAGTTATAAGTGTGGCAAAATAAATGGGCTAGTTGCAATATTTACAGAGGAAAAATAACAAGGTTTGTAGCAGACTACATAAGCTCAGTATCAGTACAATTGAACCCAAACTCTCATTTTTGTGCTATAACAAATCCCTTCATATATCGTTCACCTTTGAAGCTCACCCAAATCATTTGATGGCTTCACCATGTAAGTTTTATTGTTCCCATTGAATAGAAGGGGGATTTGGTCTCAAAGCATGAGTGATTTGACCAAGGTTGGTAGCAATCAAAGAGGTGAGAGCCATCTTTGGTCACACTGATAGAAGAACATCACAATCTAAGAAGGCCCAGCAATGACCAGAATTCTGTACTCAGCTTCAAGAATACCATTATATGAAAGATATTGCCAATGTGGGCACAATCCATTTATGAGGACAAAGGGTCTGGACATTGTGGCATATAAGGAATGTTTGGAGGAACTTGGCCAGGAACAGAAAAGACCTCAGAAGAACTGCTGTCTGCAAATACGTGAGGAGCTGTCCTGAGGAAAGGAATTATGCTTGTTCTGGGAAGGTTCATGAAGCAGAACCAACACAGCTATATGAAAGCTAGGGGAAAGAAAATTTCAGTGAAGTTTAAGGAGAGCATTCTGTCATCTAGAACTAGGAGAGATGAGCTTGCAAGAGTGAATCCACCATTAAAGGACCCATGATAGCACAGGTTGTAGCCTGCCACAAATTGCAGCTGTTATAGGAGGAATGCCTGGCTAAAAATAAAAAGTCCATGGCTCCTAAGATCTCTTCCAACTCTAAGATTCTATCACTTAAATAACAACCCACAACATGAGTAAATTCATGTCCCAATAATAGATCTTGAAAATATGCTTAGACATTAGCATGCTGACACCATGAGTTAGCACTGTATTCATCTGGGTTATAAAGACATCATAAATAATCATAAGGCCAAACATGTATCATGACTTTTGCATTTTGCTGGTCTTCATATCCCTCCATGAATGAGAACAGGGGCTGAATTATTTTCTCAGAAAAGATAAGTGATGATTTTAAGGTGATATGGCAAGCTAGTGGTAAAATCAGAGCCATAAAAACCAAAAAACCAAAAAACCAAAAAAACACACACCAGTATCCTCTTACATTCCTTGAGATCTCAGCAGTAATATTAACAACAGAATGACTAATACTTACACAGATAGCACCCACTATGTGACATCCATGGTTTTAAGCACTTTACATGTATGACCTCATTTAATTATCACAAAAACCCTGTGAAGTGGGAACTGTTTATATCCCTATTTTGTAGGTTAGGAAACTTAAGATGCAGAGAGCTTAGGTAACTTGCCTAAGATAGCAGATGTTATGGCGACAGGATTAAATTTCAAACCTTAGCAATATGCCTCGAAAAACTGTACTCTCAACCACTGTGCCATGTTGTCCCTTAGACCCATTTTATATGTGAGAGAGAAAGAGACCATTCTCCTATTTGCACATCACAGCTTCTGTAGAATACGTTGCCAAAGGAACCAAATAATCGAGTTTGACAAGCTAGAGACATAGAACAGGCTCCACTTTAGGAGATGTCTTCCTGCCTGGCTCCGCTCGGCCTCTGCAAACAAGCAGCGTGGCTGCAGGAGCTTCATCTCACCAATGGGATGGCGGAAATTACCCAAGCAAGTCGCAAACTCGAGACTCAGCGGTTCTGATCACCAGACTGGGCTGAAATGTGACCCAGATTCAGCCAAATCCAATGGAGGAGGGGCACTCAATAGAAGGGTAGATGGCAGAATCCACATTTGACCTTTAACTGGAGTGCGAGGAAGACAAAACCGAAATAATGGGTACCACAGATAACTGTTTATTCCTTTCCAGCACAACAAGCAAATAAACTGCCACTGGTGCCTCAAAACTTCATACAGAGTAATATTCCTTTAATGGAATGCTTTTAGAGAAGAGTCATAAAAATAAATTGAAAAGTGCTTTCTGCTGGCTACAGCTGGCATAAGCAGCATCTGAGCAAACAGGATAACACAAGGCTTAACTTAGCATCGCCATTTTTATTACTCACCCGCGACAGGTCTTATAATAGTATAAATTCACTTAAAAAACGGACTCTTCCTCCCATTGTCGCCCCTCCCTCTCTCCACCACCAACAACCCGACAGTCTTCTGTGTTAATTCTGAACAGCATAATTACAGGTCTTTTTATGATTTAGGTTTGAGACCAATTAGCTGATACTGCAAGCCTTTCAAATGCCAGCTTCCCTCTCGGCACTCCCTGTGCTGCTGGGGATTTATCTGTGTGCTTGTAAAAAGCAAATGTTTTGTGAGGAGCAGAGAAATCGGGTTTGTTTGTGGGTTGGTTCCCTCCTCCCCTCTCCCTTTCTCATCTGCCTGTGCATCTTTGGTGCACCTGGTCTCTAAAATTGTCGTGGTGTGAAAGGCACACTGAATATTTATGCTGGGGCCTCAGGCAGCCTCTGATAACAGGTAGTTGTTGCATAGAGCTGCCAGTTGCGCCTGCTCTGTGATTGCCTTCCTTACAGGTGGAGCTGCAGACCCATACTGGGCCATGAGCTGCCGCCATTTTAGAACCTGTTGGCTGCCGACAGGAGGCGCAAGAGTTCAGAAACTCAGAAAGCACATGCTCAACAGCCCTACCTCCTCCACTCCCTCTGCCCCTAACACCCCCCGACCCCACACTAATCATATACAAGTTGACAACATTGTCCTTGAAGTCAGATATTCAGCAAAGATCTACATAATCAACTAACAAGCATGAATCGTATAAATCCCTCTGCACCATTGGGGGATTCGGGGGCAAAGAAAATAAGATTCCTGCCCTCGACGTGCTTTTAATTGGATGTAAGAAGACAACTTTCTTTGTCGTGGGGTCCCCAGTAATCAGACCGTCTAGGCATCTACTGTGTAGCAAGCACTTTATAAATGTTGTTGTTAATCCTTACACAACCCTTCAAGATACATATAATTACAGATATTCTCCAGATGAAGAAATTGAGCTCACAAGATGAAATAATGTGCCCAGTGTCACAGGATCCCCAAACTAGTAAATAATAAAAATGGGAAACCTGATTCTGACCTGACAGCGAAGCCTTTACCACCACCCGTGTTTCCTCCCTATAGGCCAGTAGAGATGAAGTGGAACGGGCATTCTGCTGGTGGTTGTGGGGGTGGTTGCAGGTAGAAGTTTAGGAATATTTGGGAAAGGAAAGGCAGACTAATTTGAACAGTGCAGAGGAATTAAAGAAGTCTATAAAAATACTCAAATATTGGGCCAGCAATGGATATACAGAGCTAATACCAGATATATTATTACATTAACAATTCTACAATATACTGGGATATTATGCAGCCATTAAAATAACTGTAAAGACCAAGCAGAAATGTGGAAAATGCTAACTGTACAATGTTTAATAATAAAATAATAACAAACTAAAACAGAATACTAAGTACTCTCTTGTACTTTGATAGTGTTTTCACATAAAACTTTCAGTTAAAATTGTTTAAAAGGAAAAAATAAGTCCATCCCCTGGGCATAAGCATGACTATATTTACACTGTTCCAGACAGATGGTTTTCTCTCCTCTTCTAACAGATTTCCACAGAGGGAACTCTAATGCCCTCCCTCTGTTATTTTAGTGCCTTGCAACCCTATTTTTCTCAAGTCTACCCTCATGTCCCTACTGATGCAATTTCACCCCACAGTTGGCTTCTGTCTCTGTGAGCAAACTGCTGGTTTAACATTTTTAACATGCTTTGGGATCCAGGGATCGAGAAAGTAAGATTGTCATTCTTCTCACCTTCTTGCATTCTGCATACCTGCTTTTGATACTTTTGATATGACTGAGGGGGTGGAAGGAGGGAAGGTAATGACAGAGAAAATACTAAGTGCCGTAATTCACCAAACCTATTATTTTCCAATTTTACGCTTCTCTTTCACACTACTCCCAATAATTTCACATAATCTCCCAATATTATTCATATGTAGCAATTGTTAAAAGCTCCCATACCTTAGCATCTCCACCTCTCCTCTAACGTTTGTCATGGTAATGTCACATACCTCTCCTTTCAGACGTAGTTACTATTATCTTCTCACCTTCCCCCACCTGATCCCATCCTGAATAACATGTCTCTTGATGAGGTTATAGAAACCACATCTGTTTTTCTCTTACAAGTAGATCTCAATAGCACTCATTAAGACAGGCCTTTGCCCATCCTATCTGATTCTCTCTTTCCAGGATGGTACCTAGCGCTGGCATATATGGTCACTGCTTAGCTGGGCAAAGGCCTGAAATGCCAGTGGAGAAGATGAAAGCAGGGCCTTAACTGAAATAGGATATAAAAGAGGCCATGGTTAAATCAGTAGAGCGTAAAAAAAATGAAATGAACAAAAGAAGGTGGGGATGTCTAAACAGAAACAGATGCCATGAAGCAAGGTCAAGAACAAGCCCATTGGTTAGTCCCCAGACCTGTAGCCACTGAGTAGGAAAGGCAGCATGAGGACAGACATCTGAGCTTGGAATGGGTGGTAATTTCAAAAGAAGAGAAAGTCAGAATCTTCTGCTGATGTCCCTTTGGAAGGTCCACCCTCTCCCCCTTCCCTTGTTTTTTTGGGAGGCACTCTGAACCTGATATCTGATATTCACATAGGGGGAGCTCTGTTACTGCCAGCCTCTAATTTCCCTTTCTAGCCAGGCCTTTGCCCTCTCTCCTCTGCCCTCACTCTCGCCTTCTGTCCTGTTCCACAACCCAGCTGGCCATTCCTCCACACTCAGAGCTGCTTATGCCTGAATGCAGTCCTCACCTTCCGTATCTGAGACACTCCCAGTCATTTGCAAGGCTCACTTTTTGACACACTGTCCCTGGTACCCCTGGGAAATTTATAACTTCATCTTCTGGACTCCCATGGCATTTTGCAGAGGTCTCTGTCGGAGAATGTATCAACATGTTATAATTGCTTGTCTGCATGTCTCTCTCTCCCACTATATATGAAGATGCTTAAAGACTGACTACTTTCTTACTCACCCTTGTGTTCCTGTGCCTGGCACATTGATTGGCACATCAGAGGTGCTTATGTGTTTTCTTTAAATGCCAAAACCAAATATTACTTGTTGAATTTTCACCTAGTTTTTTCATTCTCCTCTAAAATCTTACAAATCAAGAGAAGCAATGTCCCAAGACAAACAATATGACACCTAATAGATGTGTCTATTAACAGCCAGCCAATGTCCTCAGTCAATAATAATAATAATAATAATTAGCATGCCCAGATACTGTGTTACTGTTTAGCCCTTTATTCCCAGGGCTTTTTGTCTAGGGAAGGGCTCTGTCTCCGTCAGAGCTGGGGGCACATGCAAATCTATTTTCTGAGACTAGCTCTGTGGAGTATAGAGTGAGATTGTGAAATTCAAAACACACCTGGGAAATTCAGACAAGATCTCAATAATAAGGACTGTAATCAAGGAAGAAACCCTTAGTTAAGCAAATAATTTGCCTTGGGAGAAAAAGGCTGAACATGATGTTCTTCACACACAGGGACTTTAGCTGGCATTTCATCTTCAGTCCGAATAGTCCTTGCTGAACAAACCTCAAAAATGAAATATTTACACTATGCCTGCCACCAGTAGAAATGGTCTTCCAATCAGAGAAGCAAGCTGTGGGAGGTGAATGAATGTCTTGAATTCAAAAAAGATACAAAAAAAAAAAAAGAGAGAGAGAGAGAGAGAGAAAGGACAAGTTTAAAATTAAAGAAAAGTGTTATCCAAGGGTAAAGAAATTTGACCTGAGTTCTCCCCAAGTGAGGATAACATGAATGGTAATGAGTCCTGTCTTATCTCTGCAGTTACGGGGATGATTTGCAGACATCAGATTTTGTGATGTTACAGACATGGTTCCCAACTTCGAAAAGCAAGAAAAAAAGTGGATGCAAAATAATATACTTGCATTGGACAAACAATAGCCAGATAACTGTATATCACAGTGAGATATAATGTCAGGTTTAGAATCAGATAAATTGCAAATAACAATGGAGAAACAACTGAACCTTGAGGACTCTCAGCAGATAAACCAGATGAAGTGGATAAAGACTCGCTGTGTGGAGAAGGCAGGGCAGCCCACGCAGAAAGGTGGGAGGCAAGTAGACAGAGGAGGTGGTAGAGCGGTGATGGAGTGTGAGCATCTAGATAAAAAGCTGCAGTCAGCTTCCCAAAAATCAGGGAAAATAATAGCCGGAAATAATAAAGTAGAATGGTAGCAGTGTCAACTGTGATAAGCAGATAATTTGTTACTCTGGACAGCCTGGGGCCCCTTTCCAGAGACAGGCAGAAGTCCAAGTTCCTAGACTTTCAGCCTGTGCAATCAAGAAGGAAAGAAGTAATGCAAAGGGCAGCAAGAACCACAGAGAGGGGGATTTCAGGATCATGGCAGACGGGAGGGAGGACTAGATTGCAGCTGGGAACAGAGCAGCATGCGGGGGCTTGCACTGTGAATTTTAGCTCCGGATCAACAGCAAGAACAAACCAGCAATCCTGAGAGGACCCACAGACCCTCTGAAGGAAGCACACTGCTACTGCAGGACCCGGGAGACACCTCAAATATACTCTGGGAGGCGGAAAGCGTCGGCAAGTTTTCAAGCCCGTCTAGCCCTCTGCCTGGAAACAGACTCAGGGCTGTTTTGGTGGGGCACCGTGGGAGGTAAGATCAGCCCTTTGGTTTGTGTGGGAGCTGGGTGAGGCCTGTGACTGCCACTTCCCTGACTGCCCTTCCCTGACAACCTGCATGACTCAGCAGAGACAGCCATAATCCTCCTAGGTACACAACTCCAGTGACCTGGGAATCTTACCCTATCTGCCACAGCAGCTGCAGCAAAACCAGCCCAAGGAGAGTCTGAACTCAGACACACCTAGCCTCGCCCCCACCTGATGGTCCTTCCCTACTCACCCAGGTAGTGGAAGACAAAGGGCATATAATCTTGGGAGTTCTAGGGCCCCACCCATTGCCAGTCCCTCTCCACACTGCTACAGCTAATGCTTTCTGGAAAGTGACACCTCCTGTCAGGAGGCCGACCAGCACAAAAATGGAGCATTATTTTTTGCACAGAGTCCAATGCACCCTCTGCCACCTCCACCAGAACAGGTGCTGGTATCCAAGGCTGAGAGACCCACAGACGGTTCATATCACAGGACTCCGTGCAGACAACCTCTGGTACCAGCCTGGAACTGGGTAGACTTGCTGGGTGGCTAGACCCAGAAGAGAGACAACAATCACTTCAGTTCAGCTCACAGGAAGCCACATCCACAGGAAAAGGGGGAGAGTACTAAATCAAGGGAACACCCTGTTAAGGGAGGAGACCACCCCTCATATTGTGTTATGCCCAATTTCTGCCTCCAAAGAAAGAAGTAAAAACTAAAAGGCAGAAATGAAATCCACAGGCAGACAGCCCAGCGCCATGCCCTGGACCTGGTAGTTAAAGATTGACGCCTGACCTAATTGGTTATGTTATCTATAGATTACAGACATTGTATGGAAAAGCATTGTGAAAATCCCTGTCCTGTTCTGTTCCATTCTAATTACCAGTGCATGCAGCCCCCAGTCATGTACCCCCTGCTTGCTCAATCGATCACGACCCTCTCACGCAGACCCCCTTAGAGTTATAAGTCCTTAAAAGGGACAAGAATTGCTCACTTGGGAAGCTCGGTTTTTGGAGTCCTGAGTCTTGCCGAAGCTCCCGGCTAAATAAAGCCCTTCCTTCTTTAACTCCATGTCTGAGGGGTTTTGTCTGTGGATTGTCCTGCTATGCTGTGGGACAAAAGAATCTGAACAACATCCTTCAGCCCTAGACCTTCCCTCTGACAGAGCCTACCCAATGAGAGGGAACCAGAAAACCAACCCTGACAATATGACAAAACCAGGCTCTTCATCACCCCCCAAAAATTACACTAGTTCACCAGCAATGGATCCAAACCAATATGAAGTCCCTGATTTACCTGAAAAATAATTCAAGTGGTTAGTTATTAAGCTAATCAGGGAGGGACCAGAGAAAGGTGAAATCCAATGCAAGGAAATCCAAAAAATGATATAAGAAATGAAGGGAGAAATAGTCAAAGAAATAGATAGCTTAAAGAAAAAAAATTAAAAATTCAGGAAACTTTGGATACACTTTTAGAAATGCAAAATGCTCTGGAAAGTCTCAGCAATAGAATTGAACAAGTAGAAGATTGAAATTCAGAGCTCGAAGACAAGGTCTTCAAATTAACCCAATCCAACAAAGGCAAAAAAAAAGAATTAGAAAATATTAACAAAGCCTCCAAGAAGTCTGGGATTATGTTAAACGACATAAGAACAATCGGTGTTCCTGAGGAAGAAAAAATTCTAAAAGCTTGGAAAACATATTTGGGGGAATAATCAAGGAAAACTTTCCCAGCCTTGCTAGAGACCCAGACATGCAAATACAAGAAGCACAAAGAACACCTGGGAAATTCAGCACAAAAAGATCTTGGCCTAGGCACATTATCGTCAAGTTATACAAAGTTAAGACAAAGAAAATAATCTTAAGAGCTGTGAGACAGAAGCACCAGGTAACCTATAAAGGAAAACCTATCAGATTAACAATAGATTTCTCAGCAGAAACCCTACAAGCTGGAAGGGGTTGGAGCCCTATCTTCAGCCTCCTCAAACAAAACAATTAGCAGCCAAGAATTTTGTATCCAGTGAAACTAAGCATCATATGTGAAGGAAAGATACAGTCGCTTTCAGACAAACAAATGCTAAGAGAATTCACCATTACCAAGCCACCACTACAAGAACTGCTAAAAGGAGTTCTAAATCTTGAAACAAATCCTGGAAACACATCAAAACAGAACCTCTTTAAAGCATAAATCACACAAGACCTATAAAACAAAAATACAAGTTAAAGAGCAAAAACAAAAAACTAAGTATGTAGGCAACAAAGAGCATGATGTATGCAATGGTACCTCACATTTCAATACTAACATTGAATGTAAATGGCCCAAATGCTCCACTTAAGAGATACAGAACTGCAGAATGGATAAGAACTCATCAACCAACTATCTTCTGCCTTCAGGAGACTCACCTAACACATAAGGACTCACATAAACTTAAAGTAAAGGGGTGGAAAAAGGCATTTCATGCAAATGGACACCAAAAGTAAGCAGGGGTAGCTATTCTTATATCAGAGAAAACAAATGTTAAAACAACAGCAGTTAAAAGAGACAAAGAGGGATATTATATAATGGTAAAAGGCCTTGTCCAACAGGAAAATATCACAATCCTAAACATATATGCACCTAACACTGGAGCTCCCAAATTTATAAAACAATTACTAATAGACTTAAGAAATGAGATAGACAGCAACACAATAATAGTGGGAGACTTCAATACTCCACTGACAGTGCTAGAAAGGTGATCAAGGCAGAAAGTCAACCAAGGAACAATGGATTTAAACTATACCTTGGAACGAATGGACTTAACAGTTATATACAGAACATTTCATCCAACAAATGCAGAATACATATTGTATTCAACAGCACATGGAACTTTCTCCAAGGTAGACCATATGATAGGCCATAAAATGAGCCTCAATAAATTTAAGAAAATTGAAATTGTATCAAGAACTCTCTCAGACCACAGTGGAATAAAGCTGGAAATCAGCTCCAAAAGGAACTTTGAAAACCATGCAAATACGTGGAAATTAAGTAACCTGCTCCTGAATGAGCATTGGGTCAAAAACAAAATCAAGATGGAAATTTAAAAATTATTTGAAGTAAATGACAATAGTGACACAACCTATCAAAACCTCTGGGATGCAGCAAAAGCAGTGCTAAGAGGAAAGTTCATAGCCCTACACGCCTACATCAGAAAGACTGAAAGAGCAAAAACAGACAATCTATAGTCACACCTCAAGGAACTAGAGAAACAAGAACAAACCAAACCCAAACCCAGCAGAAGAAAGGAAATAACCAAAATCAAAGCAGAACTAAATGAAATTGAAACAAAAAAAAATACAAAACATAAATGAAACAAAAAGCTGGTTCTTTGAAAAGATAAATAAAATGGATAGACCCATAGCAAAATTAACCAAGAAAAGAAGAGAGAAAATCCAAATAACCTCACTAAGAAAAGAAACAGGAGATGTTACAACTGACACCACTGAAATACAAAAGATCATTCAAGGCTACTATGAACACCTTTGCACACATAAGCTAGAAAACCTGGAAGAGATGAATAAATTCCTATAAAAATACAACCCTCCTAGCTTAAGTCAGGAAGAATTAGACACCCTGAACAGAACAATAATAAGCAGCGAGATTGAAACGGTAATTTTAAAAGTACCAACAAAAAAAGTCCAGGACTAGATAGATTCACAGCAGAATTCTACCATTCAAGGAGGCATTGGTACCAATCATTTTGACACTATTCCACAAGATAGACAGATAAGGAATCCTCTGGAATTCATTTTATGAAGCCAGCATCACCCTAATACCAAAACCAGGAAAGGACACAACCAAAAAAGAAAACTACAGACCAATATTCTTGATGAACACAGATGCTAAAATCCTTAACAATACTAGCTAACTGAATCCAACAACATATCAAAAAGATAATCCGCCATGATCAAGTGGGTTTCATACCAGGGATGCAGGGATGATTTAACATACACAAGTCAATACAAGTGATACACCACATAAACAGAATTTTTTTAAAAATCACATGATCATCTCAATAGTTGTAGAAAAAGCATTCAACAAAATCCAGCATCACTTTATGATTAAACCCTCAGCAAAATTGGCATACAAAGGACATAGCTTAATGTAATAAAAGCCATCTATGACAAACCCACAGCCAACATAATACTGAATGGGAAAAAGTTGAAAGCATTCCCTCTGAGAATGGGAACAAGACAAGGATGCTCACTCTCACCACTACTCTTCAAAGTAGTACTGGAAGTCCTAGCCAGAGCAATCAGAAAAGAGAAATAAATAAAGGGCACCCAAATTGGTAAAGAGGAAGTTAAACTGTCCCTGTTTGCTGACCATGTGATTGTTTACCTTGAAAACCCTAAGGACTCCCCCAGAAAACTCCTAGAACTGATAAAAGAATTCAGCAAAGTTTCCAGATAAAAGATTAATGTACACAAATCAGTAGCTCTTCTATACACCAAAACCAATCAAGCAGAGAATCAAATCAAGAACTCAACCCCTTTTACAATAGCTGCAAAAAAAAAAAAAGACTTAGTAATATACCTAACAAAGGAGTCAAAAGACCTCTACAAGGAAAACTACAAAACACTGCTGAAAGAAATTATAAATGACACAAACTAATGGAAACACATCCCATGCTCATGGATGAGTAGAATCAATATTGTGAAAATGACCATACTGCCAAAAGCAATCTACTAATTCAATCCAATCCCCATCAAAATAGCACTATCATTCTTCACAGAGTTAGAAAAAACAATTCTAAAATTCATATGGAACCAAAAAAGAGCCTGCATGGCTGAAGCAAGACTAAGCTAAAAGAACAAATCTGGAGGCATCACACTACCTGATTTCAAACTATACTATAAGGCCATAGCCACCAAAACAGTGTGGTACTGGTATTAAAATAGGCACATAGACCAATGGAATGGAATAGACAGCCCAGAAATAAACCCAAATACTTAAAGCCAACTGATCTTCAACAAAGCAAACAAAAACATAAAGTGGGGAAAGGACACCATTTTCAACAAATGGTAATGGGATAATTGGCTAGCCCATGTAGGAGAATGAAACTGGATCCTCATCTCTCATCTTATACAAAAATCAACTCAAGATGGATTAAGGACTTAAACCTAAGACCTGAAACTATAAAAATTCTATAAGATAACATTGGAAAAACCCCTTTTAGACATTGGCTTTGGCAAGGATTTCACGACCAAGAACCCAAAAGCAAATGCAATAAAAACAATGATAAATAGCTGGGACCTAATTAAACTAAAGAGCTTTTGCACAGCAAAAGGAACAGTCAGCAGAGTAAACAGACAACCCACAGAGTGGGAGAAAATCTTCACAATCTCTACACCTGAGAAAGGACTAATATCCAAAATCTACAACAAACTCAAACAAATCAAGAAGAAAAAAAAATCCCATCTAAAATTGGGCTAAGGACATGAATAGACAGTTCCCAAAGAAGATATACAAATGGCCCACAAACATATGAAAAAATACTCAACATCACTAATGATGAGGGAAATGCAAATCAAAACCACAATGCAATACCACCTCACTCCTGCAAGAATGGCCATATAAAAAAATAAAAAAACAGTAGATATTGGTGTGGATGTGGTGATCAGGGAACACTTCTACACTTCCGGTGGGAATGTAAACCAGTACAACCACTATGGAAAACAGTCTGGAGAGTCCTTAAAGAACTAAAAGTAGAACTACCATTTGATCCAGCAATCCCACTAATGGGTATCTATCAAGAGGAAAAGAAGTCATTATTCGAAAATGATACTTGCACATGCATGTTTATAGCAGCACAGTTCACAATTGCAAAATTGTGGAACCAACCGAAATGCCCATCAATCAATGAATGGGTAAAGAAACTGTGATATATATATAAACTGATATATATCATATATCATAGATATATCACATATATATGATGGGATACTACTCAGCCATAAAAAGGAATAAATTAACACCATTGCAGTGACCTGGATGAGATTGGAAACTATTATTCTAAGTGAAGTAACTCAGAAATGGAAAACCAAACATCGCGTGTTCTCACTGATCTGTGGGAACTAAGCTATGACGATACAAAGGCATAAGAATGATACAATGGACTTTGGGGACTTGGGGGAAAAAGTGGGAGGGGGAGAGGGGTAAAAGGCTACAAATATGGTGCAGTGTATACTGCTTGGGTGAGGGGTGCACCAAAATCTCACAAATCACCACTAAAGAATTTACTCATGTAAGTAAGTAGAAATACCACCTGTACCCCAATAACTTCTGGAAAAATAAAATAAAATAATAAAAATTTTAAAAAGATTTGCTAAAAAAACAATAATACACTAAGGTAAAGGTGAAATTTTGCTTTGTCTCTTGAACAAGATTTTCATGTAATTTTTATCAAAGATTTGTGTTTGCTTTTTAAATAAACTGTAGGAAAAATAAGAGAAATAAAAGAGGGAACCAAAAAAGAATCACAGACAGCTTGCACTGCGAGGGACCTTAGGAATTATTTAGAATAACTTCCCTTTCCATGACACCACGCTCCATTGGCTTTCCACCCACCTCACTAGCCATTCCTTCCCAACCCCTTTTCTGGTTTCTCTTTCTAAATATTGCAGTCACAGCCTTGGGTCCTCTTTTCTATCAACATCCATTCCCTAAGTGATCCTATCTAGTCCCTTGGATTTAAATATCAAAATGCCGATCATTGCCATATTTGTGTTCCAAGGCCGTGACTGTGCTCCCAACTGAGCTCCAAACTTGTATACCCAAGCATATACTTGTTAAATCATTTGAATGGCTTAAAGGCATCTCAAATATAGTATGCCCAGGGCAGAGTTCTTGATTCTGCTTTTTCCACCCAAATCTATTGCTCCCCCGTCCCTCCCCCAACCCCTACATCTAAGTAAAGATTACCTCCATTTATCCATTTTCTAAGCCAAAAATACAGAAACCCTCTTTGGATTATTTTTTCTTCTTACAAACTATATTGCATCTATTGGCAAGCCATGCCAACTTATTTATTAGTGGCAAATATATGTCTCTGTTCTATTTCCATTGCCACCACCCTAACTGAAGTCATCATCCTGAGTTCATCTAGATCTTTCAAAGACATTTCTTACATAGTAGAAGTTGGATAAATATTTGTTAAATAATGAATGAGACAGAAAAAGTAGGTGGGCAGAACTTTCCTGGAATGATTATTGTGAGTAAACGTAACTTCATTCCAGCTAAATCTTCCAATCACATAATTGCCCACTGAGCACCCAGTATTTCCAGCAGCCCTGCCATGTTTCCTAACACTACACCATCTCTTCTTAGGAGCTACCTGGACTGTACCTCTCCTTGCCCAATTACAAAAACAAACAAACAAACACTCTTTCCATTGTTCTTTCCTCCCTCACTCCAGAAACATTGTTTCTAAATTGTGATATAAATCTTACCAAAACACTGGACCATCAGAAATATGTGGATGGTTAGGAACGTTGCATACTTTTCTTTTGAATGCTGAATAATGCATAGTCATAGCTACAGAGTCTCTTAGCTTAATAGAAAGCAGAAGCAATTCAGGATTTGGGAGCCTGTCTCATTCCCATTAATACCACTTCTCAACTGGAGCACATAGGTCAGTGGTCATGTCCATAGTTGCATTAAAGCCATTAAGCTGGGGACGAGGAGGGGTGAGATGGAGAGTTGTGTGTTTGCTTGCTTATGATAAGTGCTAGAGTAAGGGCTCTGAAGTGCCCCCAAGGACTCTGCATTCTGAATAATATAATGATGTGCACTTTACAAAGTATCATCACATTCATTATGTCATTATTCAGCCACATAATGCTATGGCTATAGGTTTTAACATCTCTATTTTATAAAAGAGGAAACTGAGGCTCAAAGGGTAAAGTAACATGCCAAACATTACAAAGCCATGTTATTTTATGAAAAATCCTGAAAGCACTTTAAAATGAGTGGATGGTGAAAACATCTCACATCTCCCTGCTGAATGAGCAGATAGCAAAAGGCATTCCAGCAAGGTTACATGTTATTTATGGGAATTCAAGAAAATCTCTTCCCTGTCAATAAGCCCTTTGGCTGGCACTCTTTCCCACAGCTACTATAAGCACCAAATGGGGTCCAGGTTACCCTATTATTTAAGATATTCAACTTCTGGTGCAAGATTTCCCAGTGGACCCGCAGATTGTCTTTTCGCCTCCTCACCTCACTGTTTCTGTGGGTCTGTAAACTAGGTGTCCTTGCTGCAGGGACAACCTCACATTCACACTCTGTGACCCACCTGGGGGAATGACTACTGATTAGACTATGGGCTCTTCCCATTCACAATCCAATCTGAGGCCTGAGGCATTGTCAGACGGCCCCTCCGTCATCTTGGGCTCTCTCTGCTGTGTCTTACTATGCAGACAGAGGAAAGTGACAGTTTTCATCATTTCCTGCTAAATGATTCAGTGCTGATTCAGCCAGTTTCAACTCCACAGCAATGCAATAAAAAAAAAAAAAAGAGAGAGAGAAAAAAAGACCCAGAATAGAGGAGCAAATGCTTATCAACCATTCTGAGGTATTGTTACAGGTAGGCCCTCTCTTTTCTTTCACTCAGGAAAGTCCTTGTGCTTCTCCAAGGACACGCAGCTGTACTGGATATCAGCCTCCTGGGGTCTGTCCCTTCATTAACCCTTCATATTTCCATTTTAGAGGGGGCAGGTGTTTCTTGGGAAAACAACAACAACAACAACATTATTTCTCAGGCCCCAGCAATGGAAACCACATGCCAAAATAAGAACCATCCGATCAGGAGTGTAGTGGCACTGCTTCCAAGTGGAGCTGCAACCTTAGGTAAGTCATTTCCCATTTCTGAATCTCAACTCCTCTCTACTCAACAAAGATGACCAAACCCTCTTCAGATATATGTGAAATACTTTGCAAGCTATACAGTATAGGAAGAAAGCAAAATGAATGGAGGGTTTTTTTTCCCTTTCTAAAATCCCAAATTAACTTACACCACAGGCTCTCCCTGCATAAAAGCATGAAGGCAGGTTGGCCAAACTAAGGGTTTTTGTGCCTGAGAGACACTCAGGACTGAGTTATGGTCTGGACAACACTTCAAGTGAAGAAAGTTTATCTTCTTACCAGCTGAGGGCATGAAAGAAGGTTTCTCACCTCTCTTTGTGCAATTTTTTTTGCCTTGATATCTCTAAATACCTCCAACCATGCCCCAGAAGGCTCATGCTATTCCCCTGTAACCTATCCCCCAAAACTCCACTGCTTTATTCAACCAAACCCTGCCGGTAAGAGATAATCCCCATTTTTTAATCCCTACCAGATCACTTTAATCTGGATCAAAAGGCATGTATTCTTTCTCTGTCCTCCCCTACCTCAACTTTTAATTTAATGTAACCAATTAAGCTGTGAAAATAAGTCCATAAGGTTCTCCCTGACTACCACATTTTGTTTTGTTCAGACATTAAAGCTAAAGGGTAATTCCACAGTTTGGACTTGCCCTTTGTTTCCTCCGTGTTTTCATTCACTCTGTTCTCCTTGCATAAAGGTATCGTTTTCTCTCTCTTTGTCCCTCAACATTTCCTCTTCCAGGAAGTCCATCTTCATCCTATCAGACAATATATCCAAATACCTGCGATACATTCCATAGCACCTGCACTTCTTCATAACAACCAGCACAAGGCAGTAGGTGCCATGAGAGCCAGGTTTATGTCTGTGTGTTCACCCTCATGTCCCCAGTGCCTAGTACTTTGGCTGGGACATAGTAGAGGCTTAATAAATCAGTGCTGAATGAATGAATCATGGTGACAAGGAAGACATTTTTATGCCAGTTAGAACTGGCACGACCTCAGAGGTCATCCCCAAAAGTGTCCCACCCAAGCCTGGCATCCCCTACACAGTATCCCCAGCAGACAGTCAACTGGCTTCCATGTGAACAGGAGCAGATACGGAGAAATTACTTCTTTACAAGACCATCAGTTCTCTTCTTTGACAGCTCTCACTATGAGCAAGTCCCTCACCCAAACTGGGGAGGCACACTGACTGCTTCCTTCCTACCTACAGGTGAGGCTTCAGGTGTTCTGTAACATGCCCTGCAAATGTATCCATCAGATGAGAATCTTCGCATGCGGCGTCCCCTGATTCCCTTCTGAAGTCACCTGCTGGGTCCCACTGCCTGCTGTCCATCCCACTACACACTGCCTGTCTTTCAAATCTCATTTGACTCCATCTTCCTCATTCTGTACCTAGGCACGAGTCCTGAACTTCTTATGGAATCCAGCACCCTGGATACCCTCCTCTCCGCAAGGTGAATTAGGACATTATTCAAATAGAATAAAAATATTCTCCCTTATGAAAATAGACTTTGGTCCCAGTATGCCCTCTGGAGCCACTTGCCCCCCTCTATATGAGACTCACAGCTAACTCCTACAATGACCTTCTTCTACCCCTTCTCCCTTCCCTAAGGTTATCTTTCTTCTCCAAGTCAAACAGCCTCAGATCCCTCTATTCTTCTTCTCACGTGGCATTGTATGCTAGTCCTCTACAGCTTTGACCATCCTCTGCAGGTCGATTATTAACTGGGGCCTTTGGATAGCCCCAGAAAATCACAAATCTCCAGTCTAGACCTTAGCCACACCCAGCCAAGTCCCTGGAGTAACAAATAAGACAATGAACACCACTGGGCAGGTTTCAGGTTTTCATTTATATGCACAGAACACTAAGAAGGGTCTCCGTCACTATCAGATAATTATTCTTTCTCACAGTGGAATATGTTACATTCAGCAAGGCAGAAGTTGCCCTGGGTAAGTACTAGGATATATACAATCTGCTCTATATTTAAAAAATGAAAAAGAAAATGGAAAAAAATTCCACAACTTCTCCCTTTGTGTGCTGTTAAGATAAACATCCTTTCCCCCAGTTACACAGCTAAAGCTGATGGTGAATACTTTTCTCCCCGCAGAAATCACTTCTGAAAAGCAGACATTTAACATTTCCAATCTGTCTCTGAAGCCGAGATTAAATTACATTCTGTTTTGAAGGAATCGAAAACACACTTGTTAATATAATAAATGCCTTCCGTTAGTTCTAGAATTTGTCTTTTTTAGGCATATAATTTAAGAATTATCTATTATGGTAAAAAAAAATTGAGCCATCTGAGTCTGTGCTAATGTCTGTAAGCAATAAGTCTTCGATTTCCTTCATACTTCATTACGGGCGATACACAGAGAGCAATCATTCCAAAATCAGAGGTTGTTTTCTGTTGTCGGACTATTGTTCATCAGGATTTATGAAGCAACAAAAAGGCATTTTCTTGATTTTCATAAGTTAAGCTAACAGTCCGGTGATGACAACCCCATTAAAACTCAGCAAGTTAGATGTTTAAGCTATGGAGTTTTATACCGTATCTATCATTTTTACAAAGTGGCTTTCTGTCCTCCTTCAGCTTTCTGTAGAATCTTTCATCGATAGAAAGAAGAGGAAAAATGCTTATTTACCATATATTTGTTAAGCCACACACATTTGCAATGTATCTTACCTGACAATGTGTAAAGGACATAGAGCATTATGAAACTGACCAATTTTGATGATGTGGAGAGAAGAAATATTAGGCAAATAGCATTCTCTTTCAAATCAACCCTGCCTGCTCTGGCTTTTGCTAATGCATTTCTCCCTGGGGCTGGAGGTTGAGGGAGATGAGGAAAGGACAGCTGACTTGTAGCTGGGGGAGGCAGCACACTTTGCTCTAAAGATAGTGACCCTGTCCAAACTGCAGCCTGTATATTGTTAAGAGCCTCCTTGTGATTTAGGCTGCTGGACACAATCAGCACCAGCTGAGACTTTGGGAATGCATGTGGGAAAGGAATCCCCGGTTGGCAAGAAAAAGAGATTTCTTGGCTTTTAAGTCTTGCATTTACGAATCTCCCATTTGCGATAAGGAAATCCTGTTAGGTAGGAAGATGGAGTTTATTCTCTGCGACTCATTTCTTCCTTAGGGCTGTCTGTTGGATTTACCAGCATAACCACTATCCAAAGCAGAAAGTCTTTTCTTCTCTTTTTTTCTTTTTTCTTTTCTTTCTAAGAAGGGAGCTCTTGTCTTCTGAGAATCAAGAGGCTTTCAGGTCCATTCCATCTTGAATCAGTCTACAGCTTGCTGGTGGCCATGGCCTTAGTCACAAGGGCCTTAGAGACACATGTGGATGGTGATAGAAACAGAAAGGAGCTTGAAAACATTTTATTCTCAAAAGAGGTGAGTTTCCCAAGCCATGTGCATTAATTGTAAACCTCTATGTAGTTAGGAAGATGGACCGAGTTCCCAGAAAGCCCAAGAAAGTCTTGTCTCCATCTGATGATGGAAGTCGCATCTTCTATCATCTTGCTATTCTAGAGACACAGTGGGACAGGGAGAGGAAAACAGGGGCTGACATTTGTTGTGCTCTCGTATTCTATACACTGTGCTGGGCATGTTTATATATGTAAGCTGTGGTTTTCAAAAATGCCTGGTCTGCTGGTTTTCCCAACATAGCCTCTTATGAACCCAATGCTACCAATTCCAGCTGTGATGGTGAGACATGGAAAAATATGTGCCAATTGTGCTTGATGTCCTGCCCCCAGGAGGTGACTGATGTGGAGCCAGCAAACTCACAGTCCCTTTGATAGATAGCTGGCTCCTCCTCCACGCTCTGTTTCTAAGAAACTCAACATCTTCCTGTGGGATTACCCAAGATTCCAGAAAGCCTGGGTTTTGTTTCTTTCTGCCTTCATTGTGGCTGAGGTCACATGCCATCTTCTGTGTGACTAACTCACTTTCCTGAAATGAAAACCCATAGAAACAGCTACCAAACACATGTGGCATGGGTTGATTGGTAGTTGAATTTCCCCATCTACCAATTTGTGCCTCTTGCTCTCTCAGCCTGGTAGATTAATGCCATAAAGTTAATTCCCATTAGTTCTATTATTGCCCTTTATCTGGCTTCCCTTGGGGCACACAGTGGGATATTGGAACATGACTCTATTTTTAATAAAACTTCCCTGTAATAAAATAATTTTTAAATGATAGATTAGATCTTAAAATATATGAACAGCTTATGTTATCGCTTGCTTGAGAGACTTCACCCCTCCTGTATGGTTTGGATTCCTTTTCTGATTAAAGAAAAAAAAAATTGCTATTGTGAGCATTTGGCTTCTGATTTTCCATAATTCTTATTTGTAAGCACTTTCACGCTGGTACCTCCTTATAATTTACTAAGTGCTTTGCTCTTAAAGAGTACTTAACAGAAAGAGGTGCAGAGAAATTACATCTGGCAATTAGGCCAGTAAATTTAACTCCAGGACCCAGGCAAAATAGGTCATTCCTTGCTTCAGGTTTCCTATCCCTGTCACCAGCAACAGGTTGCCTGTGGGCGGCTCCTGACCATGTTGAAGGAAGCATGGGGTAACTGCCTGCTGTTAAGCTGTCATTTAGGGCTCTGATGGCCCTTAGAATACAGTAGCAAGACTCATTCAAGAGCCAGAACAAAGATAGTTCAGCCAAGACAAAGCTCAAGAAGCCTGGATTACAAGAAGTCATGTGGTCTTAGTTTCTTGTGGCGCCAACTAGCTTAGTCCTCAAAAAAAAAAAAAAGAATTTGGCCCCAGATTTTTTTTTTCTGCCTTGAAGACTGTGCCAGTAACCTTGCCCATGACCTGCGCCCCTCCCTTGCCCAACCATTTCCCATGCCTATGCATAGAACAATTATGCAATTTATCTCCAAACTCAGGCATTTTGAGAGTGAAAGGGGGAGATCCTAATAGTCACACACAGAAAACATGTGTAAAGGAAGATCCTTCTGGACAAATTGGGGATGAATGGACACCGTCTATATGCTATGCCACCCACTTCCAGAATGGAGAAGAAGATGGGCATATAAAACAAGTTCGAAGAAAGTGTGGTTTGAGTCATCAGCTCTGAGTCCATTTCTCCAGGCTGCCTTTTCCAAAGAGCCTGAGGTTTGAGCTTCTTGCTGCCAATAAGAAAGAAGATATTTGATATCATGTGTACTTTGTCTTCTGGGGAGTTAGCATGGTGAGGCATCAAACTGTGTGGGCTCTGAAGCCAGACTGTCTGGTTTATATTCTAGCTCCCCACTTACTAACTGGGTGACTAACATACTAGCAAGCTACTTTTTTGTGCTTCAGTTACTGAGTGAGCGGAGAAGAGAGAAGCTGGGAGGGTTACATCAACGGAAATTCATCCACCTGAAAACAAGAGGCAAGAAAAAAAGAAGGTGGCCTCCTAGTGAAGATTACCATTTATTAAATCCTCACTCTTGTCAGGCCCTACATGACAACATCTTAACGACAACTCTTCAAAGTACACATTCTCATCACCCTCATAATCATCATCACCATTGATATGTCTGTTTCACAGATGTGGAAATGGAAGCTCTGAGACAGTTATCTTTTGCAAGGTCATGCAGCTAGCAATAATTAGAAGCTATCTCTGACCCTAAAGTCCATGTCATTTCTAGTATGCAAAGTATCTTAAGTGGTGTATGTGAGTAGGACAGGGGCATTCTGCTTCAGTGAGACCTCTCCAGTTAAACTTATCTCAATTTACCACCAGCACATGCTTTCTAGAGACATTTAGCCCTAACCTGGAAGCTCTTCTTGCTAAAGTATTCTTCTCCTCCTTGGGACTTCAGTGACTTAGCTGTGTGACCTAGGCTATTTAGCCTTTTCTTGCTTCAGTTTCCTCATCTATAAAATAGAATGTATATTCATGCCTATATCATGAGAGTTTTGTAAGCATTCAATGAACTAATACATGTGAAGCCCTCAGAATGGTGCCCAACACATGATAAGGGTTCAATAACTATTAGATGTCAACGTCTTGCTCCAAGTTGGCAGGAGGAAGTCAAAAAAACTGGAGAGCTAGTAATTCATCACTGGGTAGGGGAAATGTGGGGAAACTTCAAGATCCCTCTGCCACACAGGAAAAACGAGGGTAGACAAAAAGATTTCCCTTTCCCGCACTCATGAAGAACCTTCTCAAGGACAAAGCTCAAAAGCAGCATCCTCATCTTCATTTATATAGTAGCAAACAATTTGTCCATATCCAACATCATTGAAACCCAAGTCTGCAATTTCTGCCTGTGCTTACTGACATTCCCCTACTTCCATGTTGTCCACATTAGCAGGCATGCTAATGACTCCTATATTAGTCCATTCTCACACTGCTATAAAGATACCACCCAAGACTGGGTAATTTATAAAAGAAAGAGGTTTAAGTGACTCACAGTTCCACATGCCTGGGGAGGCCTCAGGAAACTTACAATCATGGCAAAAGGCAAAAGGGAAGCCAGAAACTTCTTCACATGGCAGCAGGAGACAGAAGTGCAAGCAGCAGAAATGCCAGATGCTTACAAAACCATCAGCTCTTATGAGAACTCACTCATTATCATGAGAACAGCATGGGGGAAACCACCCCCATGATCCAATCACCTCCCACAGGGTCTCTCCCTCGACAAGTGGGGATTACAATTCAAGAGGGGATTTGGGTGGAGACACAGCCAAACCATATCAACTCCATAGCCTTCCTGCTCTGGATCTACCTGGAGAGAGCAAGCCAGAGCAAAGCAGCCAAGCCTGCAAGGCACATACACCTAACGAGAGGTTCCTCATCTGTAAAATGAGGAGGTTGGACTTACCTGATGATCTCTAAGGCCCTCTCCAGCACTAACATTCTATGGGTCTGTGATTCGGAGGCACCCCAGGATTACCAGGGCACCAGAAGTTGAGCCAGTTGCATTTCTCATGCATAATGGGCTGGAGAGAAACAGTTGGCGGGAATTAAACTCTCAAGTCCCAAGCACTGCAATTTGTCCTTGCTGCTTATTGGGGAGCCGAAGGTCATGCTTTGCCAGAGTCTTAAATATCAGTCTCATCCATAAACCTCATTCAGGCTGCCTGGAGAGTCAAAGTCTCTTATTTAAGAAGTGAACACAGTAGGGGAGAGGACACAGGACAATGGAATATTTTAATGCAGGCAAATAGCTTTTCGAAGCCCTATAGCCTTGTTCAGCTTTACTCTGCAACCGTGCTATTTGATCCCTTTGCCATTGGGTTGAAAATTGTAAAAATATTTTACTTGCAAAAATTCACTGTATATGTGGAGTTTTCGATCCACCAGCTTTCAGGAAGCATTAAATGTATTGCAACAGTAAAATAACCAGAGTTCATGGGCTGAAATCACCAAGGGCAAGAGACCCTGGAAACAGAGATGCAGGTCACAGGCTTAGTCCTGTCCAGCCTATAAAGTGCATATTTGAGGATAAGTGGGAGCCTATGTAAGGCAAAGTAACAGTTCCCTGAATGACACATTCAGCATGGAACTGGGCTAAAGGAGAAAGAGGTTTCTCCTAGTCCCTTAAGACTGAACTCAATTCTGACTGCTGTTGGGATTGCACCTACCCTTGAGCAAGTTGTGTCTCTACAGTCTTGCAGTGGCATATTCAACAGTCTAATGAGACCTTTGCAATGGGTCTTTCTGCCCGTTGATCGGGGAATCACTTGATTTCATCTGGTCCCGATTTCTTTCTGATTCATATCACATGTCTTGGCTCTAAAAACACCAGTGAGGTTCATGTGTGATTTTGGGAGGTTGTGCTCTGGATACATGTGACCACAGCCCTGAGAAGCAGTGTCACAGGTAGCTAAGCACGGAGATCTACAGCCGGACTGGTGATTTCAAGCCTCAAATCTGTCATGCCAATTGTGTCACCTACACACATTACTTCATTTTTTTCACCCCAGTCTCACCATTTTAAAAATGAGAAATCAAATATAGTATACTTAGGAGGTTGTGGGAAGGATAATATGAGTTTTAAAATAAAACACCTCCTACTTTGTACTTCATCCTCATCAGGCAAGGGCATATTGTATCAGGGGCTACTGAGGAGACACTTACGGACAACTGAAACTCACCTGAGGGATTTATTTAATTTCTGTCTGTGGCCACAGAGAAACGTTACAGCGATCTCACTACCTCAGCGAGATCAAATCTTGGCTGGGTTTGGTAGAAAGAGGAAAGAAAATAAGAAGGTACTAAGTGCTCTGAAACACAGGGTGAGAAAATGGAAGGAAGAAGAGAAGGGAGCCAAAATAGGCTTGCTTTGAGAGCTGCAAAAAACCTCGTTGGTTTTACGCATTTGCTTCTCTGGGCCCACTGATTGTGCACTTCTCCCATCTGTCATCAGAAACTGCCATATCCTCTTGCCTTACACCCTCTCCTCCTACGGCCTGCCTCACCCTAGCCTGTTCCCTAGAGGCAACTCAGGGCTGAGAAAAAGAAGGAGATGGGATGAGATGAGATTTCACGTGACGTACTGGCCACCATGAATAGCACCAAGCCCTGCTGGTGATTCCTAGATATTCAGGGATAAGCCTACAGACACATTCAAATAGTGCTCAGATGAACCCTGGACCTGCATCCTGACATCAGGGCTTAGTGCAGAGGCACAGAGGAGAAAACCCACCAGCCAGAAGCTAAGGGAGGGGCCCCCATCTCCACTGGAAAAGAGGGTGTCCCCTCTTCCCATGCCAAAATCTGATTTCTTCTTTGTAGTTCAAAGGCATTGAGAGTTACGTCGATTGCTTATTTTACTGACTAGGAACTGACACTTTCTCTGAAAAGATTCAGATGCCCAGCTTGGCAGACACTGGAACCCCCATAGTGGATCCTCTGGGTAGAATTCCTTCTCCTCTTCCTCTACCTCTTGTTTCTCTTCTCCCTCTTAAGAAGAAGGCCCCTGTACAAGAACTTGGATTTCCAGAAGGAGAATATATTTAGAAAGTAGTATGTGCCCACTGGAGAAAAAAAATAAATAGATAATTTGTGAAGCAAAAAGCAAAGGCTTTCCCATAGTGACCCAACAAGTCCCCTCCTCAGGGGCAGTCTTGATAAACAGCCTTTAGATATCCTTCTAGGCACTTTTCTAGCTACAAATAAGCACAGTGTAGTTTTCTAGCTACACATATTGTTAAAATGGCAACATTTTAACAAAATAAATTTGCATTATATTTATTGGTCTACAACTTGATATTTTGTTTCATAATAGATCATGGGTGTATCAGTGTGCTAGGATCACCATAACGAAGTGCCAAAATCTGGGTGGCTTAAACAACACGAATGTATTCTCTCACAGTAATGAAGGCTAGGAGTCAGAAATCAAGATGGCAGCAGGGCCAGCTCTCTCTGACAGCTCTAGGGAAGACTGCTTCCTTGCCTCTTCTAACTTCTTTTGTTCCCTGGCTTGTAGACACATCACTCCAGTTACATGACCAGCTTCTCCCTGTGCATCTTACCATAATCTTCCTTCTATGCCTGTCTATCTCTTTGTTTAAATTTTCCTCTTTTTTGAGATGGAATCTTGCTCTGTCACCCAAGCTGGAGTACAGTGGCACGATCTTGGCTCACTGTAAACTCCACCTCCTGGGTTCAAGCAATCCTCTGCCTCAGCCTCCCAAGTAGCTGGGATTACAGGTACCTGCCACCACGCTGGGCTAATTTTTGTATTTTTAGTAGAGATGTGGTTTCACCATCTTGGCCAGGTTGGTTGTGAACTCCTGACCTTGTGATCCACCCACCTCAGCCTCTCAAAGTGCTAGGATTACAGGCATGAGCCACCACACCCAGCCAATTTCCCCTTTTTGTAGGAACAGTCGTTGCATTGGATTAGGGCCCATACTAATGACCTCATTTTCATTTAATTGCCTCTGTGAAGATCCTATTTCCAAGTAAGACCACATTCCGCAGTACTGGGGATTAAGACTTCAACATTATCTTTTTAGAGGGATCCAATTCAACCCATAACAATGGGCATCCTACTGAACCTACTTCAGTTTCTTAATAGCTACCTAATATTCTATAGTTTTGTTATGCTATAATTTCTCATTCCCTAAAACTTGAACATTCAGTCTTCTTCAATTTTCTGATATGCTAACCAGTACTAAGAATTCTTATACATATTATTGTACACTTACCTTTGCAATTTTTTTAAGGATACTGCTATAGTCTGGAAGATGGTGTTCCCCCAGATTGATATTTGGGAACAAATGTCCAATGTTAGGGTATTGAGAAGTGGGGTCTTAAGGAAAGTGATTAAGTCATGAGGACTCTGCCCTCATGAATGGGATTAGTGTCCTTATAAGAGAGGCTGAAGGCAGTCCCCTAGTCCCTCCCACCCCTTTCGCCATTGGAGGACACAGAGTTTTTCCCTTCTACCATGTGAGGACACAGCAACAAGAGTGTTCATCCCTTCCTCCATGTGAGGACACAGCAACAAGGCACCATTTACGAAGCAGAGAGCAAACCCTCACCAGACGCCATATCTGTTGGTGCCTGGATCTTGGATTTCTCAGCATCCAGAATTGTGAGCAATACATTTCTATTGTTTATAAATGACCCAGTTAAAGGTATTTTATTATGGCAGCCCAAACAGACGAAGACAGATGGGTTCCTTAAAGTAGAATGTAAGGGTCAAAGGATGTGTTCGTCTTAAATTTTGATGAATATTGCAAAATTGTCCTGCATTAAGTCCTATCAGTTTTTACACCCACTAACAGTGTATAGCAGCGCTGTTTCCCCCTACACCTTCATTAACCAGAAATCATCAATCCTTTATATTTCTACCAATCTCGGGGGGGTAGAAAGAAAATTGTATCTTGCTTAATAGCTATTCCTCTGATCCCTAGTGGAATTGAAGATAATATGTTTACACCCCATTTGCTTCAGTGAATTTTTAAATGCTTTGCCCATTATTCTGTGGGGTTGTTTATTCATCCAACAAGCATTTCTAAAACATCCACGATGTGCCAGTCAGAGTGCTAGGTTGCTTATATGGTATTTTAAAAATTGATTTGTAAATTTTTAGAATCTATCTTTATATTAAAGCAATTAATCCATTGTCTATAGTATACCTAAATTCTTAGGTTTCCGTTTGTGTTATATTTTGCCCTATACAAATTATTAAAATTTAATTTAATTAGTCCTATATATATTTTATTTATTCTGAATGTCTGTTTAGAAGGCTTTTCATAGTCCAAGATTATAAAGAGTATTCTGATATTTTCTTCTAGTACTTTTGTAACATTGTAATTTTTTTCTTTAATCCACAGAGAATATCTGTGAGCTTGATATAAATGTAATTTTTTCATCTATGAAAATGAAAAGCAGAATGGTCTGCTGATACTTAAATACCACTTACCAATTGTTCTGTCATTTTTCCTACTAATTGGCAGTAAAGATATGAGCTAACATTTTATTATATACTTTCTGTTATAGCCTGCATTCTCTGAAAGCAGAACCTGGGATAAAAGCTTGAATGTATTTGGAAATGTGAGCCCAAGAAACAGGCATTCTTAAGTGGTAAGTGACACCTGGGAGGAGAGAAAGTCAATACATAAATATGCTTTCAAGTCAACCACTCCCATGGGCAACCTTTGCAGAATTACCCTGGATCTTCTGAGAAGCCTTACTAAATATTCTGGGAATATTACTAAATACACTGGAATAATAGGAGCAAAGCATTTACCCCTTGACTCCCATCCCTCATTGCTCAAGGGTTGCCATACAGACGCTAACTCCCTACAATTCCAGGTTGGGCATGTATGAGTGCATAATATATTCTCACCTGCATTCCACACAATGTCCTGCAGAAAGGGTGAGTAATAGGGGCCAGAAGCAAGTGCTGTCTGATTGTATCTGCATGAAGCCGGCCAAAATTTACAACACATTGAAATGGCTGCGCAGAAAGCTCTTGAACAACACTGTCAACACTTTCTATGAAAACAGAAATGGTCTAGATCTGAGCTGTCCTGTGTGGTAGTTGCTAGCCACATATACCTGTTAAGCTATCAAAATGCAGCTAGCAAAACTAAGAAACTGAATTTTTTATTTTTGATTAATTTTATTTAAATTTGATTAATTAATTTAAATTTAAACACACATCGCCACATGTGACTTGTGGCTACCTATGAGAGAGCATGAGTCCATAATAAGAGATAGTTAAAGAGAATTTTGAAGTGACGCCTACATGGTGCCAATATACCTTCTACGATGTACTAAGTACCAAAAAATTCAGCACGTTTTTGATTTGCTAAAATCCTTACATATTTTACTTTATCCCCACAACAAGCCTCTATGATAGATATTATTATTCATGTTTTATAGAAGAGGAAAGTAAAACTTAGAAAATTTAAATGACTATTTTATGATTGTACAGCTAATAATCAGCTGGGGCCAGGATTTAAAACTAGACAGTATAATTTTAGAGGATGCATTTTTAATCGTCTTGCCATGAGGTCACTCTGTCACTAAATTCCTATATATACATGGATGCATACCTGGATTTTGTCTTTACCTATCCATCAGTACCACACTGTTTAAATACTATAGCTCTAAAGTATGTTTTGATACCTAGTACATTTTTAGCACTTTATCATGTGACATTTTTAAATATTTTGACCACCAACTATTTCCCTAGCTAAATAAGAAGTAATTAAGAAAGGTAGAGGCCAGTTCAGATCCTTCAAGCTTTAAGTTACAGAAAAGTCAGCTAAAAAAAGGTGTTTGTTATCCCAAATAATAAGGCTATAGCCAGGCATTTCTAGAATTTGTTAATATGGCTGCTCAGAGATTTAAGCTTTCACATTCATTTTCTTTTTCAATTTCCAGAATATTAGCATTTGCCCTAAGGTTTTTTGGTCCATGGTCCAAGATGACTAAAGCACTTTCAGCATCATCTCCTCACACAGCCATGACCAGAAGATATGGATTTGGGAGTAGTCACCTGATAGTGTCTGCTATAATGACAAAGAAAATTATGATTCAATTCAGAGACTATGTAGATTTAATATTCAATAGAACTAAAAATATTCAAGTTTGATTTCTATTTAAATATAATCTCTTAGTTGAAACCAAAGTAAGGGTTGGTTCAGGGAATCAAAGCAGTTCCATTTGAGATCTTGATTCTCCTACGGGCAAAAGGAATTCTTGTCTGAGTTCAAAGACTCACTGTAGCTATTTCTTTCTTGGGAGAATTCAATTTTGCCACAACATCTTCATGCTTAGAGAAGCTGAATTTCAACCCTCTGAGCAGCAGTTCTCAATGTAGATTTAAACCATAGCATCCTAAAACTTTAGATGTGGGGAAACCTGAAAAATCATGTGGCCCAGAATCTTCACATCACAAATGAGGAAGCCCGAGCCCAGTTAGAGTTGGAGCGAGGACTAGAATCTTGCTTCCCTGATGACCCCGCCCCTTCCTCTTTCCCTGTGTGATTTCTCCAAAAGGCAAAAAATGAGCTATAACAATTTATTACTTTTATTCTGTGTCCAAAAGCCCTGGAATCTTTTTTTTTTTTTTTTTGGCATAGTCTCACTCTGTTGCCCAGGCTGGAGTGCAGCAGTGATATCTTGGCTCACTGCAACCTCCACCTCCCGGATTCAAGCTATTCTCCTGCCTCAGCCTCCCGAGTAGCTAGGATTACAGGCGCGTGCCACCATGCCCAGCTAATTTTTGTATTTTTAGTAGAGACAGGGTTTTATCATGTTGGCCAGGCTGGTCTGCAACTCCTGATCTTAAGTGATCTGCCTGCCTTGGCCTCCCAAAGTGCTGGGATTACATTTTTAATCCACTTCTAAAATGGATATGTGCTAACCAACTGTTCAGAACTCCAGTATTGCTATTGTTCAGATGATCTGGATATTTCCTAAATAATTTAGATTATGTTTAACTCTTGCAGACATTCTATGAGTTTATCTCAGCATTTATTGGGCTAAGTTAAAACCTGAAAAGACAAATATAAAGTTTGTTGCGTATTTTCTAACTAAAAGGGCAATGTGTCCTAATTATCAAAAATTTGGAAACCTTGAAAAAACAAAACTCAGAGAAACCAAAATTAGCTGGGTTCCATGGCTCATGCCTGTAATCCCAGCACTTTGGGAGGCCAAGGAGGGCAGATGGCTTGAACCCAGGAATTCCAGACTAGCCTGAGCAACATGGTGAAAGCCCATCTCTACAAAAAACAAAAACAAACATAAAAATGAGTCAGGCATGCTGACACACATCTGTAGTCCCAGCGGCTCTGGAGGGTGAGTTGGGAGGATTGCCTGAGCCATAGAAATTGAGGCTGCAATGAGCCATGATCATCCCACCGTACTCCAGCCTGGGTGGCAGAGTGAGACCCTGTCTCAAAAACAAACAAACAAACAAGGCCGGGCACAGTAGTTCACACCTGTAATCCTAGCATTTTGGGAGGCCGAGGCGGGCGGATCACAAGCTCAGGAGTTCGAGACCAGCCTGGCCAATACGTGAAACCCTGTCTCTACTAAAAAAATACAAAAAAATTAGCGGATGTGGTGGCAGGTGCCTGTAGTCCCAGCTACTCGGGAGGCTGAGGCAGGAGAATCTGAACCCCAGAGGTAGAGCTTTCAGTGAGCCGAGATCGTGCCACTGCACTCCAGCCTGGGCAACAGAGTGAGACTCCACCTTAAAACAAACAAACAAACAAAAACAACAAAGAAATTAAAATTATTCAGTATCCACCATCCAGTGATAATCAATGTTAATATCACAGCTTATGTCTTTCTTTGCATACTTTTGCAGTGCATGTTATTATGAGACTTTTAAGATGAAAGTAACTTTTTTGAAGCCGCTGTTTTTAAAAGAAAATTTGCAGATAGATGAGAAACATTTTTCAATATCAATAAATAAAACATAATTTGATTTTTGAAGAGTGGAAGTATCATATCATGTAGATAAACCACAATTAATGTAATCAACTCTCTATAATTCAGTGGGCAAGTTTGTTACTAATATTTTAATATTTTAGGCACATATATTTGTGCATTTCCAAACATAAAAATATTAAGTCAAACGATGAGCACCTTCTTAAGGTCATTAACACATTTTGCCAAATTGCCCTCCAGAAGGCTTATTCCAATTTATATAACCCAAAGCTGCCTGTGAGATTCCCTATTTTCCTACTCCATTGCCCACATAAGGGGTTAGCATTCATCGTCATTTCAGCCAAGGGGAGCTTTTGCAAAAGCCAAGCTTACCTTTGTGACTGCGATTTTTATTTGTCCCCGTTTGCAGCTCCCACGAATTCTTGTCTTGACCAAGGCCATCTGAGGGGTTTCTGCCCTCACTTGGCTGCACTGACATTGATTCAGCAAACAGTTTTGCCAAAAGGACAAAGATAACAGATGTGTTCACTTGGGAGACCTGTTAGCAGTGGACCATGAAGAGGGTTTGAGGGAAAACAGCAGCTTCTCCAGAAGAGCCTCTGACATTCTGGAGAGAGGCAAGCCCTTCTTTAATTGCTTTCAACTTCCTCTCTTGCAGGTTATTTCCCTCTTGGCCTCAGACCTCCCTAGGTAGGGACTCATCTGCATTTCCATTTGCACTTCTTGCTAGTGGACACACAAAGGTGAATCCAGGAGCAAATTTAACGAACTGGCAGGAGAAACTATTCCAGATTGTTCTGGATAAGCTTGGTATTAGTAGGGTATTTCATTTGCTACTAAATCAATGCAAACAACAGGATGCTTTATTTCTTTCCATGCAAGCTTTAATAACCCAGCCCAATCATAATGAATTCTGGGGCAGAATTAATGTAAAAGAGTAATGGTGATTAGGTAATTATCAAGTAAAGAGAGCATTTAACCTTCCCAGTGACTAAACTGCCTAAGACTACCTAATATAATATATGCTTTCTGGAAAAATTAATAATTTAAAAATTATCTAATCTCTACTATTAATCAAGAAGTAAGGATGCAAGAGCAATGCCAATCAAGTGGAGTTTGCCTCCATTCAATGTCTGCCAAAGCACTACTTCTCTCTAGTGTCTTTGTATGTGTCGGCCTCTTTGATTTTCATTTCAGGCTAGCTAGACATAAGCTGTTGCAAGTCTCTCAGAATATCTCTACAAGATGAGACACATCACCCTCTAAAATTATCTAACCTGAGTGAAATGCCAGGGAGTAACCTTTGGCCTCTGTCTTTTTTAATTGCAACTCAAGCCATTTTTAAGCCATGGGCTGTGACAGCCCCATGCTCTGCTCTCCTTCACCCACTCTTCACTCCCCCTACTCCTCATGGGCTGTGGACTCTGCAGAGGATTGTGTGTGTGTGTGTGTGTGTGTGTGTGTGTGTGATGCACTGTATTGTCTTGTTTAAAAAACAGATGTGTCTTCCCCCAGACATATAGTCTTAATTCCACAACAAAGGCACCCATACATAGATAGGCCTTACCAACACATACATTCATGAAGGCACATGTGCACCCATACATACACACACACACACACACACACACACACATAACTCAGAGAGTGGAAAAATTCACCATGCTAAGTGACAACGCATGTATTTCAGGAAGATTCAGAGTAGAATAACTGGAAAATGCTTTAAAGATTATTTTCTCCAAGCTCCCTACAGAAGATAACCCTGGGGCACTGAGAAAAGAAATGACTTTTCCAGGACCATACAATGAATTAAAAAGAGAAAAATAATTAAAATACAGTTTTCTGACTCCTGAACCCCAGAACTCTTTTCCCTAAATGCAATAAAGCCCAAGACCAAAGATGCCAGACAGCAGTTTAGGGAGTACAGCTTCTTAAATATTTGCTTCTTTAGATGTTGTTTCCTTCTCCTAGACAGCAATCCAGCTCCCTTCTTTGACTGGCGGACCCCTTAAGAAGCAGGTCAAATAGCACCTCCTCCAGGAGGCCTTCTCTGATGCACCCAGAGTTAAGTTAAGGCCCATTCTGTGAGCTCCCATAGCATTCTGTGCTGAATCCTAAACTAGTACTTTTCGTCATTTATCCTGTGCTGGCTCTTTGGTCTTTTATTCCTCCCCAGATGCTAAGCCAAGAAGGATGTATATTGTTCATGGTTGTATCCCCAACCCCTAGCCCACTGCACAGTGCTCAGACAGATCTCATTAAACTACGCAAAATCTCATGGATCCAGGAAGCCATCACAAGGGCAAGGGGGCATGTGTGCAGCAGAGCCTGAGCCAGGTAATTTATCAACAAGCTGAGACAGGCACACAAACAGGAGAGTGAAGGGAGGTAAGTCGCTACTAAAACGTGTTCCTAAGAGGCAAGCACAGCACAACTTCAGACCATCTTACTCTTTCATGAAGCAGAGATTCTTATGAGGGTGAAGACTGCTATAGGTGAAAGGAGGACAAGAAAGTGACTCCACTTGTATAGAGAGGCAGAAAGGAAGCAGGATGAAGCAGGGAAGCAGAAGCTGGAAACATCCTAAAATGGATAGCAGTCTGGTTACCTACTTGGGATCTACGGCTTGTTTCTCAGAGGAGCAGTATTTTGGGGGTTCTCAATTTCTGTCTGTTGAATCCATTGACCATCTGCTTACAGCAGACCCAGGCTTTATGTGTCTAGTTTGGGGAAGCAGATGGGGGTGGGGTGATACGAGTCTATGAAATATGCTCAGCCCCTAACCCAGTACTGGGCTCTCAGAAAATGCAGATGACTTCTTGGGTGTTTTCCATGGGTACCTCTCTCCCTCATTAGGCTACACTTGGGTCATTAATCCTGCACCTTGGATGTCCTTACTCTTTGCAAACGTTTGCTGAGGACTATCATGGAACTGGAACTGGTCAATCAGTTACATAGATCAGTATGATCATAGGAATCATGGAAGTACACATTTTGTAAAATTACAGATTATTAGGCAACCATTCTACATCTACTAATTTAAACTCTAGAAAACAGGCTTAAGAATATGTATTTTGTCCAAGCACCCCAAGCAATTCATACCCTCAGATAAGTCTAGGAAACACTGGCAGAAATACATAATAGCAATAACAATAATATTTATCATATAAATAAATTAATTAAATAAAGATAATGATTCCTGCCTTCAAAGAGCACACAGTCAGGTAAAAGAGCATTCTTTAAAATAATCATTCCTGACTCAAAGATACTCAACTTGCTTTCTAAAATAACACATATAAATAACTACAGTTTCATTTTTAGCTTTATGATGTTCACTTGTGTGATTTCTGTGCAAGCATTTCTTGTGAGATTTGACTTGGAAATCCCCAAATGGAGACAGGTAACCAAAGAGAGAGCTCCAGAGTGCTACTGAGAGCATGGGCCCTTTCAGGGGACCCTCTGCAGAGCCGGGCTCAGGAAAGAAAAATGTAAACTTTTAAAAGAGTTTCTTTGGGTTTTGAGGAATATTTGCAGGTAGTTTGGAGAATGAATAAGAGTAAAAATCAGCCACCCCCAGCAGAAGTTAATGATAATTGAGGCACTTAGTACACATTATGGAGACAAAAAACAAATCCCCCGATTCAGCCAATAAGTAATACAGAACTTGGAGTAGCTGGGCAAATAGTTCTCAGAAATTACTGGACAATCAAAATCCTATTTGGCTGTAAATTGTGTATTGCCACCGTACCAGCTGCCCAATCTCCCTCACCACTCTGCATTGGCACCTCTGCCTCTTTAGCCACCATTACCCCTCCTCTGGAGAACCCTTCCCTTCCTCACCCACTATGCTTGGCTCCCTTTCAAATGTTCTCACCCTACTCTGGGGAGCTTATCATCAGACCATGAGGCATTAATGCATGTTCTGATGGTGGAGACACAATGAAGTTCTTTCTACATGGTGCCAAGATAATCAGAAGCCTTGTTAGAAGGGAAAAATCAGTCTGATTGACAGTCGGTAGATACAAAGACTAAATGATGGACTGCATTTATCACTTTTCAGCTAGTACATTTTGATGTTAAATATTATTGAATTTGGGGGATTACAAGTTTCAGAGTTTTTGTTCCAAATTTATTTGTTTGCTTGTTTGTTTTGTCTTGTGTAGCTGTGGGGTTTATTTTTCCAATGAGCTGTTATGCAGAAGCCTAATACACAATATATGCAAGTAGAGCTGCTCTGGAAAGAGTAGGGAAAGAGATCAGATTCCTGCTTCTCCTTGCCCTTCTTTTTCTTCAGTGGCTCCTATCACCTCCACAGACGCTTGAAGACCCAGAAAAAGAAAACCTGCTTAAAAACCACTTTTCCCTCCAAGACCCTTGTTTTACAAGCAATGAAACTGAGACTCAGAGAATGGAATTGCCTGCCTGACTTCTTGCAATGGAGCAGAACTGGAAGCAGAACTCAAGTCCCTGGAATTCCATTCATTGCCTTTGTCTCCACACCAAAGGGCCAGAGGCTCTCCACTTCATGGGTTCTCACCACCCCAGGACAGTGGGGAAGGTGGCAAAAGGAGGCAGCAGCTGTTTCTTAGGCAGGCCATCTAATGCACCCTGCACTTACCCACTGCTTTCTTTGTACATATGTTCTCATTTTGTTGAGGTTCTGAATTGGATTAAGGTCAAACCCAGTGATTTAACCCTTTCTAAACCAGAAAGATATCCTGAAAGAAGACAAAATGGAAAGTTACAGTTTTCTTCTTCAGTCCACCATCAATTTCTGCCTACTGTAACCAGGCCTGCCTATCAAGGAAGCAAGTGCTCACAAAGCTCTCTGCAATCCTTTCTTCATCCCTCTACCTCCTTCTCAATCACAGATCCAGTCCACAACTCCACATTTGCATTTGTCACTCTTCCGCTCTCCATCAAATGTTCTTAGCTTCTGTCCAGATTCTTTACCCTGCCCTGGAGAGCTTCTCCTTTTCTTATTGGCCAATAAGGTATTAATATATTAGTTGCTTCAAAGTGCACTTTTTAATGAGGGTCGTGGATGTTCATTTAGTGGAATTTGATAGTGACTATACATTGACATTGGTAAGGTTAATGATTCAATGCTTTATTTCATTGAACAAGTTGAACAACACTTAGCACATTGATCCACAATGTCGTACAATCCATCTTTGCTATTACTTTAATGGTGCCATGGCATCGATGCCCTTTAAGTAATTGTCAGTGTGAAAAGATGGACTTGGCCTTGTCATGTCAGATTAGAGCTGTGCTGAATTGTGAAAAAATTTTGTCTTTTTAAAAATTCTTTCTTTCCCCTCATTGTATGTCCTTCTGATTGAATAGGGAGGCATGGGCTTGTAGATGCCAGGAGGGACAGTCTGGCTATATAGTGAAGAGACAGATTGGGCATGCAGAGACACAATGATCTACATTTTCTAAGCCCTGATTTTCATCCTGCATCAGACCTGCATGACCTTGGACAGGCTTCTTAGCTTCCTTAGATCTCTGTGCTTTCATTTTTGAAAATGGAGACAATTAATGAAATCTACCTGTCCCACCTACTTCACAAATAATGAGCCTTAGCTTTAAGGCATGATGCTCTGCCCCTGGCTCCAAGGAGATGACAGAAGAGAGAGAAAAGAATGGGCTGGAATCTCACCTGGGCCCTGCCCACCAGGACAGATAGATAAAAGTCGGGGACACTATACCAGGGGCCAACTCTGGGTGACAGCTTGGATGGCTACAGTGTCTAAGGTCTTGACAAGCCCATGGGTCTTCCAGGAGAGGGTATTGAGAGCCTGACCAGCTAGTCAGAACACATTTGTAGAGAATAATACTGACACCAAACAGGCACTCATTACTCTGAAATATGTCCTTGGGACACAGTTGTCCAGCAGGGCTGAACTCAGGGCAGGCCTCCTGACTTGAAGGTGAGCATTGGTTGGGTGAAAACCTTGAAAGGGAGACCTCGGCAGAGAGGAGGATGAGCTGTGGCTTGGGGACTACACAGGGTCCAGTGGTTTCCCTGAGTAGAGATATCTCATGATGTTTTGGCAGGAGCAATTCTAATGGTAGTTGGGTGACTGAACATAGTTAAGTCTTAAGCCTACAAACTCACTAGATTAAGAATTAAGTCTATCCAAAGTCCTGCCTTGGTCAGGACTAGCTAAGAATTTGGGCGAAGTTGCAGAAAGAGGAGAGTTGTAATCTAATGAGCAAGAAGCCCCACAGCACCCTATGTGAAGGCTATGGAGGTGGCATATTGAACATGGCTTTACCCACTGCTTGCTGGCTGACTTTGACAACTGAGCAGGTTACTAAGCAGCTCCAAGTTTCATTTTTCTCTTTTGCAAAACGGGAAGCAAAACTACCTCACAGGGGCTTTGGGAGATTAGTTGGTACATGTATGGGGTGGGTGGGGTGGGGCTTGGCTGGGGAAGCATCAAATTTTTGTTTGAAAGGAATGAAATGAGGCAGAAGAAAGAGGTATGAAGTATGTTTAACGTCATCCATTTAACAGACCTGCTATGTACCAGACACTAAACTTGGAGTTGAGAAAACAAAGATAGACCATATGCTATCCCTGCCCCCAAGTCGCCCACAATCTAAGAGAGGAGACAGACTGTGTATTTTGATGTCAACTCTGAAATATTTAGTCCTAAAGAAAGGAAAATGTTAGCAATCTCCAGGAAGGCAAAACTGTAGGGCCTCTTTCTTTCCATCGTCTCACTCACTCCCCACAGCACGTTTCTAATTCTGCCTGTGGCTAGATGGGTGAGTTTCACTCTGGAGGAAATTATTAGGGAGCCACACTTGGCTGCAGAACTAAGCCATGTTCTGTAATAAATTTTACCAATAAACTTGGTATTTTTATTTCCATCTGTTTGACAACTGTGTCTTATTTCTCAATTGATTCTGAATTCAATAGGGGAAGAAAGGGGGAGTTATTTATTGGTTTCCACAAAATCCAACATGATACAGGTTATTGTACAGCAGAAGTATGTGCAAGGCATAGAAATTGTATGCAGCATGGACAGATTTATTCTATATGGCGTGTGTGTGTGTCTGTGTGTGTGTGTGTGTGTGTGTGTGCAGAGTCGGGGGAAGACTTACAGAAGTGGGGGACGAGCTGCTAAAGAAAGAATGATTAGGAAAATGGAAAGAAGAAAAGAAGAGCACCCCACACACATCCATAAAACAGCAAGTACAGGGGCTGGAAGGTGAGAAAGAGCACATGCAAAAAAATTTCAGAAACGATCAGACATTGTGTAAATGTTCAGTAGGAGTGTAAGTATCATTTGGTCAATATTGTACCAAAGAATCCATATCTTCCAAGAGAACATTCCTCAGATTACTCCGTGTTGGAATTAACAATGCCACAGTAAACCCAAGGAAATACCCCGACCAGAGCTGGCCCAGTGCAAAGTGGAATGACACTAAAGTATATTTTGGGGCATTGTTTTACCTCAACAACACAGAATCTTGGGTTTGGGTCTCATCATGCCATTATCAGTGCAAACTTTGTGAGGCCTCAGTTTAACACGTGTAAAAGGACAGTATTACATAATCTCTAAGTCTTCTTCCAGCTCTGACATTCCATGGACTTCTCGTCCTTTCACAATTTTTTTTTTCCCAATCAGTCCTTTCCTGCTGAACTCTCAACAGAGAACCCTAGTCTCAAGATCTGTATAGATTAGTTATCAATGTTTCAGACCTAACTTTGCCAACACTTGGGAACACAGCCCTGTAAAGCATCATTTGGCACTTATTTTGGCACTTCCTTATTCTCCACACAGGAGAGTATGGTCAATTTTTTAAAGAGGGAACAAATATTGAGCTGAGCCATTATTTGATTCTGGAATCAGATTTAATTCTTGAAGTCCTTCTTTTTCTCTTAAGAACTCCATAATCCAATAGTCATATTTATAGACCCATAAAAAAGGGTAATGCCAAGGGTGTCTCCATGCTGAAAATAGGGCAAGTGTGGAATGTCTATTCCTTGAGGGTGAATTTCTCAACGCTGGCATTACTGACGTTTTAGGCTGGATAATTGTTGTGGCGGCTGTCCTGTGCCTTGTAGGATGCACAGAAGCATCTCTGGCCTTTATTCCCTGATGCCATAGAACCCCTCCCCAGTTGTGACAACCAATGGTATTTCCCCAGGCATTTCCCAATGCGCCCTGGGGATCAAAATTGAGAACCATTGTCTTAGGAGGTTCCAATTCCCTCTACCTAAGGTGAGTAAATTGATTGTAAACACACATGCATGTCCTCAGAGAGGAGCTAAAGAATATATTTTTCTTTGATACTATTCATCCCTTTGTTAATTCAACTAATGGAGTTCTTACTGGATGTTGGCTACATTTCTTGGTTATTTAAATTCTCATTTCGGAATCCTTAACTCTATCCATTTTTAAGCCTCACAATGCTGGCTTTTTCCTACATCTCCTTAGCTGTTTCTCACGTCACCACCACCACCACCACCACCACCACAGCTGTTACTGTTGTTCATGATCCTAAAGCTCACTCATCCCCGTCTCTGAGCTTCCACACCTGCCACTCACCCACAGGAAATCATATGCACCAGTGAAAACTCTGAGGCCCTGAAGGCAAGGCCTTGAATTCTACTTTTGGTTCTGTCCCTTACTGGCTGTGTGACCTTAAAAATGTGTGTGCCTCTCTGAGTGTCATAATCTCACCTGTAAAATGAGAATGACAGTGGCACATCCCTGCCTACCCATCCTGGTTGTTTTGAGGGAAAAATAGGAAAATGGCAGAGAAAGTGCTTTGAAAACTATGAAGCATTGTACAAAAGAGAAAGATTGTTATTATCATGATCATTATCTGTAGAACAAAAGATTTGGAAAGGAAAATAGTATTAGCACAAACTGCTTATCCAGCAGAGAGAAAGGCAGATGAAGGAGCAAAACAATAATCAACTCAGATTGGGCACAGGATAAGAAATTGGAGAAGAAAAGCATAGTCCCTTTGCTGTTTTGAGGGCAAGTACACTCCCTTCCTCCAGGAGTGGGAGCTAAAGATAAGACACCCCAGCGTGACTGTGAGAAGGGACTTTATTGGGCCCCTATGCAGGGCTGCTTGATGAGGCCTGGGGCTGCTTTCAAGTACAACTGCTAAAAGCATAGCTTTTTCGTGCAGAGGGGACCTCAAGGAGATAATCTGTTAATGTACATTAGATACTTACTTACAATGTGCCAGCCACTGTGTTTGGGGTGATTCCTGAGGATGCTTTCATCAGCAATGCATCCAGAAAGGATGGGAAAATCTACGCTCCCCTCCCAGCCCAGGCTGTCTCGTCTATGCTACAGGACCTGTCTCTGCCTCACAGTGTCCCAGTGTAAGATCTCTATATTCCGTAAGGAAAACATTGGTAACCTTTGGAAATGTACTAGAGCATGAAACACGGATTCTGTGAAATCACTTTTGTAAATTGTGAAGCATGTGTCATGGTTCTATTTTTTATATTATAAAAATGATGATGATGATAGTGGGCATGTATATATAATGCTTAGTATGTGCCAGGACTACTCTAAATAATTTAACGTTCATTCATCAATTAACAGAAACTGAAAGTGAAGATAAATATGAGTAGTATTGCATAGAGGGGCCTACCAAGCCTCCCCTCCTTTTTATTTATTTATTTTTTACTGTTTCCATGGTTCTGTGTTTTTGGATTTTCCATGAAAGGGGAAAAAAAGTATGTCCAAAGTGGGCAAGAGTCCAGATAGGACCTAATAAGAGCACTACCAGCAGCAGCGGAAATGAACACATCATATTAATTAAGTAAACAAGAGGACAAGGGATAGTGGCTGAGGCTGGGAGGTTCACACTGCAGATTCTATGGCCTCCAAGAACAGAGCCAGTCGGTAACTATGAAACAAGGGGGAACTTATCTGAAAATGTGGAGTTAGAAGCACTAGAGGAAGTTGGAGAAGACACCAGTTACAAGACACCATAGGGAATTTCCCTTTTGTACTCAGGTAGAGATTTTAGGGGACTGAATCTTCCCATTATTCTTCAAATGGTAAGAGAATGATTAAATAACTGTTGTTTCCTTATGTACAAAGATACATGACCTACTGATAGGACCGTCAGGGTCCTGTAAAGAGACATTTTCTTTGGCACTGAAGGAAACTGTTCTACTTTCCTACAAGAGCAACATGGTATTCCAGTGATATTCAATTTTTTATTTCCCCTACCCCTGACTAAAGAAACCATTGTACCCAGAGATCTCCACTTTTCTTTCTTTGTGTGAGATATCCATTTTTGAGGATAGTTTGTGAACTCAAGTCATTTTGATACCTGGAAGTTGTGCTTTTTTATTTTGCTTGAGGTCAAGTCCTTCTTTCTGAGCCAGCAAACATTTCATGTTCGCTAAAACAAGAAGGAAAGAGAGGCAGCATTCACTGATGTCCTGGCTGTAGGCCATGGCAGCCCAGGGCTGACAGTGGGCCTGCGGTTTAAATCTGAAAGGATGTCCCGTTCAGTGTGGGCATGGTCTTCGTTTCAATCATTTAGCACCCAGACTTGACCCTCAGGCTTCTGTAGTCCAAGGAAACATCTTTGGCAGCTAAAGATTCCTTTTCTCACCCAAATACAATGCCTCTTATATTTAAAACCTCCAAGGCTGGGCATAGTGGTTCATGCTGGTAAATCCAGCACTTTGAAATGCTGAAGTGGCAGGATCGCTTAAGCCTAGGAGTTTGAGAACATCCTGGGCAACATAGCAAGACCTCCTATTTAAAATAAAAAATATTTTAAAATACATAAAATCGTCTAAAAATTTATCTTTGTGTATGTTAGTGTACTCCCCTGTTTAGCACTTAAATAGCATTCCACTTAGTCCTTAAAACAACCCTGAAAAGACAGGCATTATTATTATTATCATCACTCCATTTTACAGCTGATAAAATGAGGCTGTGAGTGAGTAAATAACATTTCCAAGATCACCCAAGATCAGAAAAGGATGGAGTAGAATCTCAGCCTGAGTGATGTTTAGAGTTTGGAGACTTCGAAGACCGTGATCTTCACATTTCACCCCACTGCATTCACTTATTGGCTATGGGTTTGTAACCTCTCTTTGAAGGCCTAGTCTGCCTCACCCTCTAACAATCTGAACCCTCTAATGGCACTGGCTGGGTTCTGAGGCATCTGGGAGCCCATAACTCCCATCTCTTATGGCTGCTTCTTTTATAGCTGTACACCAAGCCATCAGAAGGGTTCCCATCGCTTTTGATGCAGCTGCTTGGAACACAAAGAGCCCCGAGGAGCCTCAGAAAGAGTACAGCAGTGGCACAAAACCTCCTGACACTGGGTATGGGGTCTGTCCTTTTATCACTATCTCCTTTCCTTCTAAATTACTTTTGATTATACAGCATCTGCTTTCTTCTGACATGCATATGCTTCTCCCCCTAAATCTGAATGCCTGTCGAATAGCCCATACAGAGAGCTGCATACAAATACACAGCTGAAAGTTGTCTTTAGAAGCCCTCCAAAAATCAGATCTACAAGCTCAGCTAGCAGATCTCTGGGAGGTGGCAGATAGCAGCACAGGCAAAGACAGAAAATGCCAGACTCCCCCAATTATCTGATAGCTCAGAATCTTTCCATTCCTCTGGGTGCAGGCAGAGAGAGCAGGCAATCAGCAGGGAGAGACGTTCCCGCCTTCCACTGGATGATATGTGGTCTCCCAGGCAGTGGAAGAAAAAGAGGGCATCTGGGATGTTAGGATGAGCCCACAAAGCTCACAGAGGAAGACGCAGACAGTGCTCTGGTGTTGGTAAACCCCCGTGTTGGTGCTTCTGCAGCTCCCCATATTCCAATCTCATTCTGCCCGCTGGATGCAGTCACTAGTGTTCCCACTTTAGCCCCTAAATCCTGCTCCACTGTGGTGTCCTTGTAGACATCACTGCTTTCTCACTCATCTTTGTTTCTTTATCTTCCTGTAGACTTACCATGTTTCTCACATAAACTTACATTGAAAAAATATTGGTACAGTTGATTTGATTGAGATGGTTTGATCTGCATTGGTTGGCTATATGGAAATTTACAACAAAATAATACCGAAATAGTTATTAAAGCCAAGACCCCAAGAAGGCCTAGTGTGAGTAAAGAAATATGACAGACTAAGTAAGTCAGCTCTTCTTGGAAAGGATAAAGAAGCCATTGATTACTTCCTTTCCCTAACAAAAGTTTTTTGGGAAGGGACTGGGCAGAACTGAGGGCAAGTCAATCCTGTGTCCCAGGGGCCTATCCAAGCCAGGGTGGGAGACTTCTCCTTCCTGTAATTTCAGTGTGTGAAGCCAGGGAGCAATTAGAGAAAACGGCCTCTTACTGCAAGCCAGGCACTTTAAATGGATTATCTTTAACAGCTTTATGGAGGTATAATTGACATACAATAAACCACACATATTTAAAATACACAATTTGATAAAGTTTGACATCTATACACCAATAACATTTTCACCATGATCAATATAGTGAACATATTTATCAGCCTCCAGAATTTCCTTTTACTCTCCCTCCTGCACCTCCTCACACTCCTCCCCAGACAACTATTGATCTGCTTTCTGTTGCTGTGGATTTATTTGCATTTTCTAATGTCTTAAAATAAATGGATTCATACAGTTTGTACTCAGCAGGTCACTCCATTATATTGCTGAGTAGTATATACCACAATTTATTTATTCACCTGTTGATAGGCATTTGGATTATTTTCAGCTTTGCACAATTACAAATAAAACTGCTATGAACATTTGTATACAAGTCTTTATATGAACATGTGTTTTAAATTCTGTTGGGTAAATACCTAAGAGTGGAATGCCTAGATCACGTGTTAGATGCCTGCTGAATGTTTAAGAAACTGTCAACCATTCTGCAGAGTGGTTATACCACGTTACATTAACAAAACCAGAGAAGGAGCATTCCAGATCCAATATATCTTTGACCACACTTAGTCATTTTAATTTTAGCTATTCTAACAGGTAGTGGTATATCATTGTGGTTTTAATTTGCACTTTTCTAATGACTAATGATGTCGCATATCATTTCATGTGCTTATTTGCCATCTGTGGTAAGTTTCAAATCTTTCGCCCATTTTTAATTTATTTTTGCCTTATTATTGAGGCTTTTAAAAATCAACTTTATTGAGAATTAATTTACATACATCTCAATGAGTTTTGACAAATGTATTCACTTTGGTAACTATCACCACAGTCAAGATACAGAAGATTTCCATCACTACAAAAAGTCCTGCCTTCTTTTAGAGGGCCCATTCTTTTACGTGTGTGTGTGTGTGTGTGTGTGTGTGTGTGTGTATTTAATAAGAGCTTTATTGAGATATAATTTAGATATCACAAATTTACCCAATTAAAATATATAAGTCAGTACTTTTTAGCACATTAACAGATTTTAAATCATCACCATAATCAATTTTAGAACATTTCGTCTCCTTATACACACTAGCAGTCACTCCCCATTTCCCATCCATCACCTAACAAGCACTACACAACCGCTAATCTGCTTTCTGTCTCTAGAGATTTGCCTATTCTGGACATGTCATATAAATGTAATCACGCAATAAGTAATCCTTTGTCGCTGTCTTCCTTCATGTAGCATAATGATTTCAAGGTTCATTCGTGTTCTAGTATATATTAGTGCTTCATTTATTTCTATTGACAAATAATATTTCATTGTATGACTAGAATGCACACATTTTATTTATCCATTCATCCGTTGATGGACATTTGTGTTGTTTCCATTTTTTGGCTTTTATGAATAATGCTGCTATGAACATTTGTGTATAAGTGTTTGTGTAGATATTTGCTGTCATTTATTTAGAGTGTATACCTAGGAGTAGAATTGCTAGGTCATATGGTACTTCTAGACTTAATCTTTCAAGACATGGATGTGTTATTTTCCAGAGTTGTACCATTTCATATTCCCACCAGCACTGTATAAGGGCTCTGATGTCTCCACATTCCTTCAGATATTTGTCATGGTCTGTCTTTTTTATTAGAGCCATCGTAGCGAGTATGATGTGGTAATACATTGTAGTTTTGATTTGGATTTCTCTGATGGCTAATGATGTTGGGCACCTTTTCACGGTTTTATTGGCCATTTGTATACCTTCTTTGGAGAAATGCCTATTCAGATTCTTTGCCCATTTTAAAATTGGTTTACTTGTCTTATTATTGAGTTGTTATTGAGTTGTTAAATTTTTTTATATATTCTAGATATAAAGTCTGTTATCAAATATGTGATTTGTGAAAATTCTATTTCATTTTGTGGGTTATCTTTTCATTTTCTTGTTGATATCCTTTAAAGCTCAAAGTTTTAATTTTGTTGATGTCTTCTTATTGGTGAGTTTTAAGAGTTCTATGCATATTCTAGATGCAAGTCTTTTATTAAATATGTGCTCTGAAAATATTTTCTCCCAGTCTGATTTGTCCTTTCATTCTCTCAATGAATTCTGCTTTTGAAAAGCAGAAGTTTTTAATTTTCATGAAGTTTAATTTAACAATACTTTTCTTAGATTATGCTTTTTGTATAAAATTATCTCAGAAACTTTTACCTAATCCAAGATCATAAATATTTTATCCTATATTTTCTTCTAAAAGTATTTTACATTTGGAACTATAATCAATGTGAGTTAATTTTGCAAAATTATGCAAATTGAAAGTTCTTTTGCTTTGTTTTGTTGGCATAAGAATATCCAATTGTTTAGTACCATTTGTTGAAAAGACCATCCTTTCTCCACTGAATTGCTTTTACATCTTTGTCAAAAACCTGTTTTCCGTGTATCTGCAGGTCTCTGGACTCTACTATTTTCCACTGATACTTTTGTCTGTCTTTATATCAATACCACAGTGTCTTGACTCCTGTACCTTTTATTAGTCTTGAAATCAGGTAATGTTTTCTCTCAGCTTTGTTCCTTTTTTTAAGTTGTTTTGGCTATTCTAGATTTTTTTTTTTTTTGCATTTCCAGTGAATTTTAGAATTAGCTTGTCAATTTCTGCAAGAAAGCCTGCTGAAATTTTGATTGTGATTACATTAATTTTATAAATTAATTTAGGGACAGTTGACATCTTACAAATATTAACTCTCCCAGCCCATGATAGGGTATATCTATTTCAGTCTTGTTTAATGTTTCTCAACAATATCTTATAGTTTTCAGTGTATAGTTTTTAACATCTTTTGTTACATTTGTCATACTTTTGAAACTATTGTAAATGGTACTGCTATTTAATTTCCATATCCATTTGTTCATTGCTAGTATATAAAAATACAATTGATTTCTGTATATTGATCTTGTATAATATCTTGGTAAACTCACTTATTAGTTCTAGTATTATAGCTTTTTTGTAGATTCCATCAGATTTTCTGTTATCAGAAGTTATCAACTGGGAGTGGTTTTTACCCCTCTGGGGAGACAGAAAACAATGTTTGGATACATTTTTGGTTGTCACCTCTTGGAGGGAGGAGGGGCAGTGCTATGGGCATCTAGTGGGCAGAGGCCAGAGATTCTGCTAAACATCTTACAATACACAGGACAGTCCCCCACAACAAAGAATTATCAGGAAAAAAATGTCCAGCAGAGGTTGAAAAAGACCATTCTACATAGACAGTCATGTACTCTACAAATGACAATTTTACTTCTTCCTTTCCAATTTTTTTTTTTTTTACTTCTTTTTCTTGTCTGGTTGCACTAATCAGAATTTCTAATGTTGAATAGAAGAGGGGAAAGCAGGCATATTTCCCTTATTCTTGATATTAGAGGAAAAGAATTCAGTCTTTCACTATGAAGTATGATGTTAGTTGTAGATACTTTTGTAGATGCCCTTTATCAGGTTGAAAAATGTCCTTTCTATTCCTAGTTTGCTAAGAGTTTTTTCAGGAATGGATGTTACATTTTGTCACATGCTTTTTCTGTCTCTGTTGAGATGATCATATAGTTTTTCTTTTTTATTTTACTAATATGGTAAATTCAATAGATTCATTTCAAATATTAAACATGTGCTTTTTTATGATAAATCCCTCTGGTTCAAGATGTATTTTGATTTTTATGTAAGATTGGATTGGATTTGATAATTTTTTTGAAATTTTTTGCATCTATGTTCACAAGATGGTCTGTGGTTTTATTTCTAATGTCATCTGGTTTTTCTATCTGATTTTGATAACGCCAGCCTCAAAGGATGAGATGAAAATTATTTCTTCATCTTCAATTTTCTGGATCAGTTTATATATAATTGATATTAGCTTTTTTTTTTTTTTTTTTTTTTAAGATGGAATCTCACTCTGTTGCCCACACTGGAGTGCAGTGGTGCGATCTCGGCTCACTGCAACCTCTGCCTCCCAGGTTCAAGCGATTCTTCAGCCTCAGCCTCCTTAGTAGCTGGGACTACAGGCATGTGCTATCAAGCCCAGCTAATTTTTGTATTTTTAGTAGAGACGGGGTTTCATGATATTGGCCAGGCTGGTCTCAAATTCCTGACCTCGTGATCTGCCCCCCTTGGCCTCCCAGGGTGCTGGGATTGCAGGAGTGAGCCACAGTGCCCGGCCAACTCTTTTTTGAATATTTGGGAGAATTCACTCACCAGTGACGGTATCTGAGCCTAAAGTTTTCTTTGTAGATGTTTTAACTACAAATTCGAGGTCTTCATGTGCTGTAGGACTATTCAGGTTATTTATATCTTCTTGAGTAAGCATCAGTAGTTTATGCCTTTCAAGAAACTTGTCAGTTTCTTCTGAGATGTGAAATTTATAAAGTTGCTCACAGTATTTCCTCTTTGTCTTTTTAATATCAGTGGATCAGTAGTGATGCCACTTCTCATTCCTGATATTGGTAGCTTGTTTCTTCTCTCTTCGATTCCTGATCAGTGTTGTTCGTTCTTGGAGATAAATAAAATTGAAAAACCTCTAGCCAGACTGTTTTCTATTTTGTAGATTTTTGCTTTAATAGTTATTATTTTCTTTCTTTTTACTTTAGGTTTAGGGGCCCTTACTTTCCCAGTTTATTAACATAAAAGGTGACATCATTGATTTGAGATTATTTTTTATTAAGAAATATGTTTAGTGCTATAATTTTTCCCCTAAATACTGCCATAGCAGCATCCCATAAAGTCTAATATATTATACTTTTTTTCAATTCAAAATACTTTTGATTTTTTTTCCTTGACCTGATGGATTATTCAGAAGTGTATTTTAGTTTGTAAATGCTTGGTTATTTTCTAGGTATCTGTATGTTATTGATTTCTAATTTAATTTCATTGTAGCCAGAGAACACATTTTCTAGTATTGGAATTCTTTTAAATTTATTAAGACTTGTTTTATGGCCCAGGATATGGTCTATCTTGCTCATGGAACCATCTGGCAATGCGCAATAAAAAGCAGGTTCCCAGCCACAGGACAGCCATTCAAAGGCAGGCTTCTATCCCTGACAAAAACTTAATGTTCCATGTGCACTTAAAAAGGTATACATTTCGCTGTTATTGGGTGAGGCTGTTCTATAAATGTCATCAGGCCAAGTTAGTTGATAGTGTTATTCAAGTCTACTATATCCATGATGATTTTCTGTCTGGAGACTACGGCTTTATAGTTTTTATCAACTTTAGAAAAAAATTTTGTCCATTGTACCTAAAAATATTTTTTTCTGACTCCTCTCCACCCTTTTTTCAGAAACTTCAATCACATGTATACCAGACTGCTTGAAGCTGTCACATGGCTGTTCCCATTTTTTTTAATTCTTTTTTCTTCCTCTGTGTATTTCATTTTGGGGAGTTTCTATTGCTATATCTTACAATTTACTAATCTTTTCCTGTGCAATGTCTGTCTACTCTGCCATTAGTCCTATCCAGTGCATTTTTTATATCAGACATTATTTGATTGCTTTTTCTTTCTAGAAGTCAGTTTGGGTGTTTTGTATATCTTCCATGGCTCTATTTAATTTTTTGAACATGCAAATACAGTTATAATAACTGTTTAATGTCTTTGTCTAATTCCAACATCTGCATCATTTCTTGATCATTTTCGATTATTTTCCTCATATTTTTCTGCTTCTTTGTGTTCTCGTATAATTATTGCATTCTAGACATTATGAATTTTACCTTATTGGGCGCTGGATATTTTTGTAGTCCCAGAAATATTCTTAAGCTTTGTTCTTGGACATAGTTAAGTTACTTGGAAACAGTGTGATCCTTTTGAGTCTTGCTTTTAGATGTGTTAGGTGGGACTAGAGAAGTGTTCAGACTAGGGCCAAGTGTTCTCCACTACTGGGGCCAGACCTTCCTGAGTATGCCACCCTGTGTCTCACTTATTATTGGTTTCTCCAGTCTTGGTGGTGGAACAGGCACTATTTGTAGCACTGTCATAGCCAACAAAACTCTTCTCTATAATCCTTCTAGATGACTATTTCTCAGGCCTCAATTATTTTTCTAACATTCAGATGGTTGATCAGTACTCTGCCAAATACTTGAGACAGACCCTTTGCAGATCCTGAGGTTCTCTCTGTGTAGCTCTCCTTCGTAGTATTTGGTCTCTGGTCTCACAAACTCCAGCCACATTGGACTCCTTGAACCCTCCCCTCTGTCTCCTCAAGTCATGAAATTTGCCAAGCTCTGCCTGAGTTTCCTCTGCTTACATCACAGACTAAAAACCCCTCAGTGGAGTAAGCTGGGCTCCCCTCATTTGTTTTCTCTCTCTCAGGGATCACAGCCCTTTGTTGCTTGATGTCCAATCTCTTGAAACTATTGTTTTATATATTTTGTCTGTTTATCCTTTCTTTGCAGCAAACAGGATGGTAAATCCAGACCTTCTTACTCCATCTTGTCCAGAGGTAAAAGCCTCTAACTACATCATCTTTCAAATTTCACAACCACTCTGTAAGCACTAAATTCATATTAGAATTATGCTTACTTTCTAGAAAGATAATTTGAAGGATAGAGAGATTAAGTGAGCTGTCCAGGATTCACACCTAGATCTGTGTGAGTCCAGAGTCTGTGCTCCGAGTTATCATCAGACTTGCCTCTCTAGGTTTGTGACACCCTCCTAACACTTACAGGTAGGCTTACCTAGCCCATGACCAACCCCAAGTCGTCCTCACTTGAGGTCCACTTCTGACCACACTCAGGCACTCAGTTACTTCTTCAATCCTAGTCCATTTAGTAGTGAGCATGGGTGGTAAGAGAACAGGATGTGAATAAGCAGCTCCAGATCCCAGTTAGGAAGTTAAAGTTGGAAATGGGGATCTACCAAGTGATGCCTGGTGGTCCCATCTAGTGATCTTCAATAGAAAGCCAGGCTGCAAGCCACAGGACAGCCATCCAAGGGCAGGTTTTCCATCACTGGGAAAAACTTGGTAAGATTTAAAGGCAGAATAAAAACTTGGACAGAGATCAAAATAGAATTATAGTTTTCTAATATAAGTTTCTAATAAAAGTGTAGTTTTTCTAATATAAGTTGTAATTTGGGGATAAGATGAAGGTAACAGCCTGTTTCTAAAACAGGTGTGCCATTGGTAAGGAGGTGGTGGATGGAAGAGAAAAATGAAGTCCAGGTGTCAGGACTGGGTAGCATATCCCCAGCCAGAATAACAGAGACAATGACTCAGTGCTAAGCCCACAATATGACAGTCTAGGATGGCTTAAGATCAGGATCTCAGAGCCTGGACAGGCCTGGAATAACAGGAACAGAGACAGTAGACCAGCTGTGGAAAAGTAGAAATGAAGATCTTAAGGACTTCTTTGCCCCAGATGCCCTGTCACAGTCACTTTAGAAACCTCAGTGGAGACACTTGCATTAGTTACAGAGAATCAGGCATTGAGAATGGCTCAGTCCGTAGGGTGGTGATCATAAGTTCAAACTTATGCTCACAAGGCTATGAGCATTTGAGGAGGCAATTGTTTTGTATGGAAGGTATGTTCAACTGAAGAAGGACTGAAAAGTCTATGTTGCTACTAGGTTTTTCTGACTTGGGCCTAGGACACGAAGGTCGTGGGTGAGAAAGGACCTTTAGAGCTGCTGCATCCACAGAGACCAGCAGCGATAGATCATAAATCAGGTCAGCTCCCAGGCCACATTCCTTCCAGGAAATAGTATGGAGGCCTAAAGGAGAGGCCCACCCCTAGGGCGGTCAGTAGGAAGCAACACCATGGGAGATGTGCTCTACACTCCTCAAATAAGAAATTCCGGTGGCCAGGCATGGTGGCTCATGCCTGGAATCCCAGCACTTTAGGAGGCCAAGGCTGGCAGATCAGGTCAGGAGTTCAAGAACAGCCTGGCCAGCATGGTGAAACCCCATCTCCACTAAAAATACAAAAATTAGCCAGGAATGGTGGCATGTACCTATAATCTCAGCTACTTGGGAGGCTGAGGCGGGAGAATTGCTTGAACCCAGGAGGCAGAGGCGGGAGAATTGCTTGAACCCAGGAGGCAGAGGTTGCAATGAGCCAAGATCGTGCCTGCCACTGCACTCCAGCCTGGGTGACAGACCAAGACTCCATCTCGATAAAAAGAAAAGAAAAGAAATTCAGTTGTCCTTATAGGTTTGACAGTGTGTCACAAATGATAGCGACATTTCTTCAAGGTTAATTCACAGCTGAATCATTCTCATCCTTCAGGTCTCAGCTCTAATATCTTCCTCTGAGAGGCCCTTCCTCGCTATCTCTTCTTAAATGGATTTGCTAGTTTCTGACTCATCTCATGTATAGAACTTAACAGATGAGACCATGAATCCTGAGGTCAAATTGTCTGGATTTAAGTCCAGATTCGGTCACAAACATGCTCTGTGAATTTTGGCAACTTATTAATATTTATTTGTCCACTTTCCATGGATTAAGTTGTCATTATAGGACCTATCTCTAGGATTGTTGTGGAGATTTACTAGCTAAACATTAGGTTGAACCTATGAAATTGCCATTTTGGTAAGTCAGTATGGTCATTTATCAACAATTTCATATGGATCACCCTGAAATATATGTGAGGCCTTAGAACTGGGCTAGTAAGCAGTAAATAGAGGTGTTAGGTATTACAAATCAATCTGTAATTATTATTTTTTAAAATTTTTTAGAGATGGGGGTCTCACTCTGTTGCCTAGGCTGAAACACAGTGGTACAACTAACTCACTGCATCCTCAAATTCCTAGCCTCAAGTGATCTGCTTGCCTTGGCCTCCCAAAGTGCTGGGATTACAGGCATGAGCCACCATGTCCAGCTTACTTATTTTGTTTATTCATTCATTGTTTATACCCCACAGTGGAATGGAAGCCCCTAGATGGACCTTGGCCATCTTCTTTGTCACTCTGTGCAGGGCACCTGGTACAGTCCCTGGCACACAGCCATTGTTCAATAAATATTTACAAAAATTTAAATATTTCAAACTTAAAAAGATTTACATTTAAATTAAATACTTAATATTTACAAAGATTTAAATATTTATTGAACAAACGAATGGGACATTTGTTCTGACCCCTCTAATAAAGACTGGGCACAAGGCTGCTGGTAGGAGGCATATACCTGTGACTACCTCATTCTTACGTCTCAATGGAGAAGTAAGGATAAAAACAAGGCTGCAGGGTTCTGGTGCTAACCCACCTCACCTCCTTGCTTGCACTCAACCACTGCTGGCATGGGTAGGGCTTGAAAGAGCTGATTGGTGTGTTCCCTGTGGGATTCAGCAGAGTCATGTGCTCCTGAGCTGAAGTCAGCAGCGCTCACTTTCCCAAAACAAGCAGGGTTGCAAAATGAATAAACAAGAAATACACCCCTCTGTCTGTGTGTTTGTTTGATGATTTGGGTTTGTATATTTCATTACCATAATGACAGAGGTGAGCTAGGCTTTGGAGCCAAGTTCCCCTCTTCATCTGGATTGCCTGGGAGCCAGTCTGGAGGGACAATTAGTGAACAGAACCGCAGTGGGAATGAGTGCCTCTTATTGAATACACAGCTCAGGATCTAGGGGCTCATGTTTTTCTGACATAAAAACAGACTTATTTCAGGCTTATCTGTGCCAGCAGGTAGCTTGGCATTTTAGTAAAGTGTTTTCCTACATTGCCTCCTCAAGTCCTGGCCACAGACTTTGCCAGGGGGGTAGACTCTGAGCTCCTATCAAAGCCTCTGACTGCAGAGCCCAACTGGCCCACCCCATGCACTGAGTCCCTGTCTTTGCTTTGAAAAGTACAGTTTAAAAAAACAACTGAAAAACCCACTGCTTTGTCTACCCATAGATGCCTACTAGAGGCAAGACATGGGCTGGGTTTGTCCCTCTATGGAAGGCTTTGTGGTGTCATTACCCTGACATCTGTGCTGAGTCCCGGCGGCCCAGTAACCATGAGGCTCAGCCACCGCTCCAAGGCCCAGAAAAGCAGTTAGGGGAAGTCAGGCTGCACGTATCTATTAGACCTTGTAATGGTTCTTTTGAGAATTTTGCTCCTCTTCCCACTGGTGTCTGTATCTGTGCATTTCCCGTATATGTTTTCTCTTTTCTTGTTGGATTGTAATTCCCCAAACCCTTCTTTTCTCATTTCAGCTCTTTAGAGTCTCTCCTCCTTTGCCATCGCTGTACTTCAGCATCTGGACCAGCAGCCCAACAGAGGCCCAGGTTGAATTTTTTTTTTTTTTTTTTTTTTTTGAGACGGAGTCTCCTTCTGTCTCCCAGGCTGGAGTGCAGTGGTGCGATCTCAGCTCACTGCAAGCTCCGCCCCCCGGGTTCATGCCCTTCTCCGGCCTCAGCCTCCTGAGTAGCTGGGACTACAGGTGCCCGCCACCACGCCTAGCTAATTTTTTTCTATTTTTAGTAGAGACGAGGTTTCACCGTGTTAGCGAGGATGGTCTTGATCTCCTGACCTCGTGATCCGCCCGCCTCGGCCTCCCAAAGTGCTAGGATTGCAGGCATGAGCCACCATGCCTGGCTAGACTGAATTTTTTGCCACTCACTCCTTTCTTCCCTGCACTGGGCCCCTCAGTCCAGCTAAGCATTTATTCCTTTCCCAAGCACTCCATGCTCTTTTTAATGTCTTAGTTCCTTTCTTCATCCTGCTTCCTCTGCCTGAAAATTCTTTCTTAACCTTATATACTTGTCAAACTCCACATACCTTTTAAGCTGAGCTCAAAAGGTCACTTTCCTGACTCCCTAACACATTATCTCTTCCTGATTCAGCACTTTAGTATTATAGCGTAATTTCTTAGGATTTTTCTGCTAGACTGAATGCTTCAAGTTAGGGACCGTGCTTCATTTATCTCTATAGCCCTTGTTCCAAATATAGCACCTACATATTAGTAGGTACTCATTTAATATAAAAGTGAATAAGTGAATGAATGAATGAATGAATGAATGGATGATGGTCTGCTGAGTATCAGATGCTTTCTTCTAAAAGCTCAGCACTCCTAGGATTCTTAGCAATACCCTTCCCTCACCTAATGTATCATCTTAAAGAAAAACATCTTACATATAGACATCCTTGGGCTTTTATCTTTTCCCTTTATTGCAGTCTTGTGTGTAGAATACAAATCAGAAGTAAATATATGGGGGTATCCCTCAGATGGAATCCCCCTATCCATTACTGACAGTCGTCCACCAGAAATGTTTTTGTGCCCTTAGCCCTTCAACTTTAAACATGGCAGTACTGGACTGCTTCTGTTTAACATGAATTGCCTATTTCTGACAGATGTCAAGTGTGAGGAAGATTGCCTTTTACTTTATTTCATTTTATTTTACTTTATTTGAGACAGGGTCTTGCTCTGTTGCCCAGGTTGGAGTGCAGTTGTGTAATCACAGCTCCTTACAGCCTTGACCTTTCGGGCTCAAGCGATCCTCCCACCTCAGCCTCCCACATAGCTAGAACAACAGGTGAACACCACCACACCCAGCTAATTTTTATATTTTTTTTTGTAGAGATGTGGTCTCTTTGTGTTGCCCAGGCTAGTCTCAAACTCCTGGGCTCAGTGATCCTCCCGCCTTAGGCTTCCAAAGTGCTGTGATTACAGGTGTGCGCCACCATGCCTGGTAGAACTTTGCCTTTTAGATAGATAAAGAGATTTCCAAGGGGAAGGGAGACCATTGCTGGCCTTCAAAAGGAGCAAACAACTTACTGCCCTAGATTACTCCAGGTCCGCATGCCCCACATCTCCCCAAGCAGGATTCTTGTTAGCTCTTATTTGCTTACGAGTCTCTATCAACCATGCAAGACCTTAGTTCTCACACCTGCCCCATTCAGTTTTTGCATTTTTCATTACATTATTCCAGCATGTAACCTTGGCCATGTTCCTGACTTCATTCCAATGGAAAGACCCATTTTTAGTATGTGGCTATTCCTCTCCTGGCATTTTGACACCTAGCCCACCCCCAAGCTAACTATTCATCCCAGATTGCCTGGGACAGTCCCAATTTACACATGTTGTCCCAGTGTAATTATTAATAGCACCCCCTTTTATTCTTATAAGTGTTCCAATGTGGATGATAAATTATATGATCATCCTACCCATCTCTGGGTTTTCCTCCTTCTGTCTTGGAACTGACAGCTCACTTACTTGTCATACCCACCTTTTAATATGCTGAGATAGGACAATTCCCATCCTGACTTACTTCTGTCTATTCCACAGCATTTGGATTGCTGGGCAGAGCCAGTAAATGTGTTAGAATGAAATTTTTGCCTCCTGTCCATGTTCCATAGACAAATACGTCCATGCTCAGCATGCGCATGTGCATACACGCACATGCACACACACACACACACACGTACATGTACATGCACACAATGGAAACAACATTAGCATCCTTGTTTTTCACAAAGAGATCTCCACGTGGTATAAAGTAGGGGAGGAAATGGTCTGGCAGCATTGTAATGATAGATGTCAAACAGTGACACAGAAAAGAATTATAAAGGACCAAAAAGCTAGGGCCAGACAGTGATCAAACTATTTTCTTCCAATGGGATGCAATCCATTTTCCTTTCAAACCTCATACCATAAAGGGAACAGACATTTTTTGCACAGACATGGGCACAAATAATGCTCACAAGGTCTTCCCAGCAGATACTCATTACCCAAGCCAGCCACCAAAGAGTTTTCCCTTAAGTTAAACCCTGTGAGCTGCTCACCTCATGGCAAAAGAGAACATTTGCCTGTTAGTGGTGTTTCATCAGTGTGGCTTTCCATTCTGCCTCCTCTGAAACCTGCAGAAGCCTAGAGGTATTTGTTCTGTTAAGCATTTTATGCTGAAAATATCCCTTATTTAAAATGGCTTCATTATGCCTCTAGAAAGTCTTTAAATAGCACTCCAGGGTTACAAGCTTATCTAACTTGGTATGGGTATTCATTCGTACTCCCTAAACACGGCTAAAAATCTGACTCTTCCAAGAAGGCTTCCCTGATCAAGTGGGGTCCAAGTGAGGTGACTTTTTCCTTTTAATAATCTTTTCAACCAACATCTCTCCAAGTATTCAAATCAGCAGAGGTAAATACGGACATAATTCTTCCCCCAAATTCTACCAGCTTGAAAGAGAAATGTATGCCCAGCTCAGCTCAGTGCTTTTCTCTGAAGGTGAAGGCTTCCCACCTATGCATCACAAGGTTACTTGTGTGCCAAGGCACTGATCTCCAATTCCTTAGTTGGCCAGGCTTGGGGCCTAAGGCAGCCAGAACTTGTGAGTTACTATCTCTAGGACTGAGCAGTCTCGGTGGTCTTACTCCAATATACTGTCCAATATTAACATATTCTGTGTTTGCCATGGCATAAAAACATTAGGAAACAATGCCATGGATCAACACAAACATATGGCCCTGGAACCAAATACGAACCTTAAAGTTGAATCAGAAGGAAAAAAAATTGTCATTAATGTTATGATTAACAAGTCAAAAAGAATAATAACAGGTAGAGAAATGGATGAATAATGTAAAACCATATCAGCTCTAAACACAGCATAAATACCTTGGGTGTTAATACTGAAAATAATTCATATGCTGTCTACTTTGTCATTGATTCTCACAGCTTTTCACTTTTGTTGTTGGTCAGACATTACCTTCTGATGCCATCCAAGGGAAATAACAAAGACAACTCAATGTAGGGAATCAACTGTCTGTTGGAATCAACTGGGCCTGGGAATCAACTCTCTCTGCTGACAATGGGGAGATTGTGGACAACTCACAAACTCTCCAGGTCTCAGTTTTTTCATCCTTTCAATTAAAGATTGATTTGGTTCTTTCAGTACTGAAAACCTGTGACTCTGTGACTATTTTTGAACATCACTGAACCTGGAAATTAAAAGAAATGATAAATATATTGGGCTTATTTAAATTCAAAAAGCCACTACTATTCCATTCAGATCTACTTCAAGAAGCCAACGTGTAGTAGAGAATTCATACAACATAAGTAGAAACATCCAGGGCTCGCCTCTAACCCAGCCTCCTCTGCCTCCAGGCACACATGGATTGTGCTCCCTTGGCTCCTTGCAGTTAGGATCATGTGACTGGTTCTGGCCAACACACTGAGAATGGAAAGGATGTGCTTCACTTCTGAGTCAAAGAATTGCATTGTACAGTGGGAGACCCTGCAGCATTCTCTCCTGCCAGAACTATCCAGAAGTCCATGTGTTCCAGATGGCGCAGTGATGAAGTAGCACTCCATCAGCGTGGGTCCCTGAGTGGCCTGTGAAGCAGAGTCCTCCACTGACTGCTATGGGGAATATGCTTTTGTTTTGGGAGATTTAGGGGCTGGTCATCTCAGCAGCATAACCTAACTTATATTGACTAATATATTAATTTCACTCAATTATCCACTACATTTATTTTGTGGTTGTGTTCTTGGTTTCTTCAGAGAATATGCCCTTGGGTAGAGGAAGAAAGGAAAGGCATGTTGTGTTCTTTTATTATTAATTTGTTTTGACTATGTTGAGTTGTGCGTGGATTACGAAGTGAAATCGAGGCTACCAGTCTTGATAAGAGTTGATGATTCTCATATCACAATAGGAAACTCACTATTTGAGCCAGGCTTACCAGAGGCAAAAAATATAAAAGTTGTGGGGGGAGCAACTGTATATTTTTATTATTGCAAATATACTCATATTTAGTCCCCATCACCCAGTGTCATACTTTTTGACCTCTTTTTTAGTGGACACCTGGAGCGGCCCTGATACATTTGTCTTTTGCTTCCCTGCACTTCCATTATGATGTGAAATTCGAATGCCAGAGCCCCCATCAGCACCTCTGCTCAGTGGTTCGAAGTGGGTTGAATTGTAGCCAGCAGCAGGGGGTGATAAATGTAGCGTGAGCTGACTTTCCCCCAGAAAACTGCAAGTTGCCTGAGCAGTACAACCCACAAAAGGTTCCCGTGGAGTGAATTTATCTTGCATTGTCGAGTGGAGAGGAAAAGAGGAGAGACCAAGCATTCTATTTTTGCAAAGTCACATTCGATCTTGTTCAACGTGCAGTCCACACATCTTTTAAAGGGGGCTCCAATGGAAAAGAGTACCAGCCCAGGAATGCAGAGCAGATAAAAAGATTTATTTTTAACACTGATGGAGTTCACGACCATGCAAGCATTTCAATTTCAAGTCACTCACTCCTGAATAATAATCATGTGTTCTGCTGGAGTGCAAGTTATGTCACCCAATAATTCAAGATGGAGAAGATCATGTCATGGACTGGAGGATACAACCCACCATCAAAGGGAAAACTCATCTTTCTATGATATTGCCTATTCATTTAGAAGGGGACCTGTGTTCCTATCAGTGGCCCAAATTCTCCTCAATCCTTGCTAAGCAGTTATGCCTATGCCAGATTATTCCCTTCTAGACACAATTTCATCAATGCCTCATGAGTTTGTCAAAGTAGCTGCCATTTTGGAATCCTCCCAAGTGTTAGAAAGCAAAAAGAACCTTAGAATACAACTAGCTTCATTACACTAGGCTTTAGAATGAGGTCTTTGGGGAAGTCTTTCAGAGACAGGTCTTTCCCTGTTTCCTGGAATAGCAGATAGTAATAACGGCCTTTCTGGAGAAAGCAAGGATTGTCATAGGACTTCATTACATCACTCTAGCCACAGGTCAGAAGATTTTCTACTACATGACTCTTGTCTTTTTTATGTTTTCAGGAAGGTCCAGGGACTTTATTTAGCTTTCCTTACTATCTGGAAAGCATTCTCTATCCTAGAGTCAGGCCCAAACCTTCTCCCAGTTTTCTAGGTCCACCTACTCCATAATGACTTCCCCTGGTAACTCCAGCCCACAGATACTTCCCTTTTTCCAAACACTAAGTACTCATGATCTGAACCACTACTCTCTTAACCCTCATTGTAAACATGTGCTATGCTTCTTGTACCTCTTACAGCACTTTACACATAGTAAGTGATCAAAACCTAAACTCTCTCAGCTAGGGCAGCAGTTACTGCAGCGGTGGTTAATAGCTTGGGCTCAGAAATCATACAAAATCCAGTTCGACCCCAACTCTTTTAATTACTAGCTTGAGCACGTCGGTGTTCCTCTCCATATTTCAGTTTTCTCATTGCAAAGTGGAAATAATGATCATAATATGTACTTCATAGGGTCACTGAGAAGTCACTGAGATAATGCATATGAATGGTTTAGCACAATGTTCAAAAATATGTGTAACACTCAGTAAGTGTTGTTATTATCATGCTTGATGGTAATTTATGGACACTCCCTTTGCTGCTTTGCAGCCTGCCACCCACACTCCTTTTACCTTGATGGAGCTTTCTGGGGCACATGAGTGACTCCACTCAGGAAATTATTGTACCTAGGGCTGGATTTATGGAAAATAAAAGCAGAAGTTTCCTGTTACCATATTGTGATACAGTTGGCCAGAAGAATGTCTCTGGAAAATTTGAGCAAAATTATGATATATGGAAACCCTCCAAGACACAGCAGTCAGGCACATGCCTGACCAGAGTAGAAATTATCCAGTGTTTCTGTTCAGGACAGGGCTCCTGAATTCAAGTTGTTGCCCCAGTGACTGGAAAGCCATCACATGGATTATAAGACCCACTGTCATTGATATTGGAAATGTGTTAAGCATTGAGACAACTCACCAACCCACCCAGCTGCTCACAGGTAGACGTCTTCACGGGAAGCCTGAGGCAGGGCCTGCTACAGATGGCTTTCCCCTCTGTTTAGGTGAAACAGATTAACCTTTTCATAATTCATTGTAACATTTCGGGGGAGAGGGGAAGAAAAATGCATCACTCCATGGTGTTTGGTTATTATCTATATCTATTTTTATAGATGATGTGTACATAATCTATAGATGCAGATTTTTTTTGGCCAGACACTAAAGCCTGGGAGGAAAACTACTCTTATGGGCTTAGAAAATAACATGATTCAAAACAATTCTGCTTTTCACCTTCAAGTCAGAAGCTGTTCCATGGAAACCATTCAAACCCCAAGCAGAGTGTTGCACTGCCCATACCTGATGAGGAGAGAGCCTCTTTATCAATTACTCAGAATCAGCTAAAACTCCTGCTCTAAACACCGATTGGTCTAGTAGGGCTCTCTTTACTCTTGAACACAGCAGATCTTTCTTTCCTTCTTTTTTCCCTCTGGCCTTTTCAAACCACAAACCTGATTTCCCATCCCAGCAGACAACATCTTGCCATCTGCTCCAACATCATCCAATCTCACCTGCAGGGCTTAGTCTCTAGGGAGTTTGCCTCTAATGCCATGTGGCCATTTTTAATTAAAGATTTCCAAAGCAGGAAACATTAACTTTAAAAACTGTACAAAAAAAGAATGCCGAATAACAGTAAGAATACATTGTCCCTTGGGTATGTCAAATACCACACAGAGACTATAGCCCATTTGCAACATTTCAAAAATAATATTTCAACTGCCTTTATAATTAACAAGGTGAAAAAATAAGAAATGAAGAATAACAATTCAGTTGAGTTTAAATAGAGACTATTTTATTATTTTGGGGTTTGAAGTCACTGATTTCCAACTCCATAAAATACATTACTAAATTAAATTGATTTTGTTTTTAAGTCATGAATTATGCTTCCTCTACCCATAATAAAGTTCCATTTGTCATTCTGCAGATGGACTAGCCCATCTATAATGATCCTTGCCCTATACAAAAATGACTTCTGTTGCTCACCTCTGCCTTCAGTTGTTTTTATCGTGGCCCAGATGGAGTTACAGGGGGTCAGACTTTCACCTCTGTAATACTTTCCCCTTCGGGACCAATAGATGGTGAGGGTGTAGACTTGTAGCCCTGAGCACAGATTGAGGGGAACTGGGACACACCAGATCAGAACCAAATCTACAATCTTAATGATAGTGATATTGTCTAAGCATTGGGGTTAAACACCCATAAGGATTGAACAAAAAGAGAGCTAGGTTGAGTACGATTTCATAGTGATGGTGCTTGTTAGACACACCAGCATGAAGCAAGAGCTAATATTCGTCAGTAACTCTCTTTCATGGGCAAAATCATCCTGCACAGTTCACAGCACATAAACAAATTTAAACATCTGTTATGTTTGGGGATTTGGCTTTAATATTTGTGGGGATGGGCACAGGACATGAAACGCTAGAAAATATTGTTCATTAAAGATAGAACAAACATGTCACAAGAAGATAAAGGAAAATCTGGATAGCTAAGAGGTATATGAAGTTATGCTCTACCTCTCTAACAATTAAAATGGATACGTTAAAACAAAAAAAAAATGCTACCTTCTGTCCATGGTACATGGTAAACATTTGAAAATAAAATAACAGAATAGCAATAATAACACCTACTATGGGCCAGACTATGTTCTGAGTAAAACATACATTGACTCATTTACTCCTCACAGGACATTATGAAGAAGATGCTAGTATCGTTCCATTTTACTGTTGAGAAAACTGAGGGGAAGAGATGTTAAGTATCTTAACCCAAGGTTACATAGCAGGAAAGTGGCAGAGCCAAGGTTTAATACCAAGCACTCACGAGGATGTGGGGAAATGAAACATTCATGCACTGCTATTAGGAGATCAAACTGGTACAACCATTCAAGGTGGAAATCTGGAAATGCTTAGTGGAATTAGATATGCTTCACCCTACTACCTATAGCAATCGCACTTCTCCGAGATGTATATCCCAGAGAAATGACACACAAGTCCATAAGGATATATAGACACATATATTTACTGCAGCTCTGTTTGCAGGTATTCACAGATAGGGAAATGGATAAATTAAATGAAATATATTTAATACATGTATTTGATCCATTAAATATACATATATGGCAGGATGCTACATACTTGTCAAAAATAATGAACAGGATAAATTTTAAAATCTATAAGTAAGGAAAAGCAAAAAATAATGAGAGCACAAAACTGTTTCTGTAATTTTTTAGTACAAACCACACAAATTTCAAGGCTATTTTTGTAAATAAGCAAATAAAATAGGCAAATAAAAGTTGAGTCATTATGCTACACCAAATTATAGCCTCCATGAAGATTCCACACCCTAATCCCCAGAACTGTAACTATGTTAATTTATATGACTTAATTGTAGATGTAATCAAGGTCACTAACCATTTGACCTTAAAATAAGAAGGTTATCCTGTATTGTTGGGATTGGTAAATGGCCCCTTAAAAGCAGACAGGAAGGCAGAAGCAGAAGCTGGGGAGATTAAGCACAAGAAGGATCTAGCACACAACTGCAAGCTCTGAAGGTAGAGGGGGTACAAGCCAAGAGATACATTAGCTTCTAGATGCTGAGAATGACTCCCACAAACAGCCAGCAAGGAATCGTATGCAACCAACAACTCAAATAAGCTGGAAAGTAGACTCTCCCCACAACCTCCAGAAAACAGCCAAGGCTAGCCAACACCTTGAATTCAACCTTGGGAGACCCTTAGCAGAGAACCCAGTCAAGTCCGCTGGGCTTCTTTCCTACAAACTGTGAGATAATAGATGTTCATTGTTTAAAGCTGCTATGTTTGTGGTAACTCGTTAAGGCAGCCATAGAAAACCAATGCAGTCATCCAGGATATATATGAAACAGTCAAGTGGTGGTGCAGATAGATGGAGGGATATAGAGTGAAGAGAGGAAACAGCAGCAAAAATAACAGAATAAAAGAGAATTATTGCATGGATTGATGTTAATATTGTATCATAAATTGAGGACTGTAATCAATTCAATTCTGTGAATCTGAGGTCACGAATTACTATAGAGGCTGGGGGTGGTGACTCACACCTGTAAAATCCCAGCATTCTGGGAGGCTGAGGCGGGTGGATCACCTGAGTTCAGGAGTTCAAGACCATCCTGGCCAACATGGTGAAACCCCGTCTCTACTAAAAATACAAAAATTAGCTAGGTGTGGTGGTGGGCGCCTGTAATCCCAGTTGCTTGGGAGGCTAAGGCAGGAGAATCACTTGAACCCGGGAGGCGGAGGTTGCAGTGAGCCAAGATCGTGCCATTGCACTCCAGCCTGCACAACAAGAGTGAAACTCCATCTCAAAAAATAAAAAAATGACTATGGATACAAAAAAAATAGAAAGAATGTATAAGACCTACTAATTCATAGCACAATAGGGTGATTATAGTCAATAATAATTTAATTGTATGTTTTAAAATAATTAAAAGAGGCCAGGCATGGTTGTTCATGCCTGTAATCCCAGCACTTTGGGAGACCAAGGTAGGCAGATCACTTGAGCCCAGTAGTTGGAGACCAACCTGGACAACATGGGGAAACCCCAACTCTACAAAAAAATACAAAAATTAAATGGGCATGGTAGTGCACCTGCAGTCCCAGCTACTCCAGAGGCTGAGGTGGGAGGTTAGATTGAACATGGGAGGCAGAGGTTGGAGTGAGCCAAGATCATGCCACTGCACTCCAGCTTGGGTGACAGAGCCAGGCCCTGTCTAAAATAAAATAAAATTAAAATAAAAACTAAAAGAGTATAATTGGATTGTTTGTAACATAAAGGATAAATGCTTGAGGGGATGAATAACCCATTCTCCATAATGTGATTATCATGCATTGCTTGCCTATATTAAAACATCTCATGTACCCCATAAATATATACATCTACCATGTCCTCACAAAAATTAAAAATACGAAAGTTTAAAAAATTACTATGCAGGTAAAAAAAACTTGGTAACTTTTTGCAATTTTCGAGAACGCTCTCTGGTATAAGCAAGGTGCAATTTTTCATGGAATAATAAAGTTGAACCCTTTTCTGAACAATCCCAACTTCCTTAGCCTATGGATTTGGAGAGTTTGCTTTGATAGAAGTTGTCTTTCCCTACAGTGGTAGTGGGGTAGCTCAGCAGGGTGATCTGAGGTCTCTGGCCCACTGAGAGTTCTCCTCATTGGCCCCTGTCCATCTTCTCTCCTTCCCCAGCTGGTCCCTTCTCTCTACACTGCAATACTTCATTTCAGCCCACCCCTAAATTCTATGGCAGATTTAATTCCTCTTTCTAACATTACCCTCAACCACTGGCAATTTGAGAAACCCCATTCTTGGCCTTCCAAACAAGCAGCATATCTCTGCTCACAATAAATGTGGATAATTAGAGTGGAATTTGAGTAATATGGGAGTGGAGGTTTCTGTATGTCATGGATTATAAAACTTAATTCACCAGAAGCTTCCAGCCAGATATGAATTACTGGCCTTAGAGTATGAGAAGGGTTTCATGTTTCCACTGAGCACACACGTCACATGTGACCCACACATGCATCACATGCACACACACGCACATAGCACTCAGACCCACGTGGCTATTCCCAAGCCCAAGGGCAGGGAAAAAGCTTTTCTGAGTTTTCAGTCCTCAGGAGAAATCTCCATCCCTGTCACTCAGGAGGGGATTTTCCTTTGTCACATCCAGGAAAACCCCACAAGCTCTGAGCCCTCAGTTGATTTGCACCCTAGTCCCAGATGGAGAAAACAACCCCAAGCACCCGTCTGATCGCATTTGTGACAGTAATTATCCAGGCATTGGACACCAAGTCATTACCAGTGAATGAATTATTACTAGAAACAGTTAGTGTCCAATAATGAAGTTAATGGGAGATAATATGACAGTCATTAGACTGACATGGCTCTCTTCATTGTTGAAGAAAGAGGAACAGTCATCAAAAGCTGGCAACAGGCAGGCAGGATTAATCTATGTCAGGCAGTGTTTACGATACGTCTCCTGGACTCTCTTCTTGTGGCAGGGCCATGATTAGAGGGTTAGTGTTTCCTGTTGGAAGTCAGCATCAGCTGTTCAGAAGAGAGCCCACTGTGCTGCAATAAAACTGTCAGTCTTGCAGCTCCCTGACCATAGGATGCCCTTGCACATGGTTATGTTTTCGCACGCTCTGTTCCCTCTGTCTGAAATGTCCCTTTTCTTTCACCTGTAAAATTCCTACACTTCCTTCCATCCCTAACTCAAGTGTTACTTCCAGGGTAAAATCTTCTACAAATCGTCTAGGAGAATTTAGCCTCCCCTAACATGGGATGTCGTGCATTGCCTTGTTCAAAGCTCTACTGTTATTTCTCAGTATTACGTTCTACTTATGTGTTTACATGTCTGTATTTCCTGTTTCACGGAGACTGTCTTAGAGGCAGAAGCTCTGTCTTCCTCGTTTCTATATCACCAGCACCTAGGAAATTACCTCTAGGTTCCTTACAAATATCTAATGAAGGAGGAAAAGAAGGAAGACAGAAAGATGGGAACAAGGGATGGAGAGAAGGAGAGAGGAACCAAGTTTCCGATCCGGACTCTGCACCACATGACTGACAGCAAATCACTTAATCCATCTTACCCTAAATTTCTTCATGTTCCAAGAGGAGGATCATCCCTTCTACTTTTGACTTCATGAACTGGGAGGTAGATAAAGGAGCTAGAATAGATACAGGAAAGCACTTTGGGCTAAGATGAAATAATCTGTAAGTACAAAGAGTTTTTATCTTCGTATTGCACTGCATAGAGACCGCATCTTTTTGACATTGTATAAAAATATTCTTCAGTGTGATTCCACACCTCCCTGTGCATTTCTGTGTATATGCATGGATGAGACTGAGAACAAACGAATCCAGCTTGATTCACCAGAAAGAGCCAGAGCTGTGTGGGTAGTTCACGATACCCCTGTGCCTGGAGAGTTGCCTTTTCCTTTAGCTTCATTCACTGCAGTTGGTGCAAAGTGAAAATCTTGAAGGAAAAATTTCTAGTTAATGGCAAATCCTTTTGATAAGACACAAGAAGAGAATAGGTGAAGGGTAATAATTCCTTCCCTTTAATGGCACTGGTCTATATGGTGTGTATCTGATAGCAATTCCCTGCAACACCGCAAAATAAGACGTCATTTTCCAGATGACCCACTGTGCCCTGAAATTGAAGCCACAGAGTTCCCGTAGAAGGAGTCTGAGCCAGGGATACACCAAAAGCTTAGGGGTGATCTGAAGTGGTTGAAAGCCAGGAATGGGGAACTTTATGTCCTCTTAACCTTCAACCCGTCTTTCTACAGCAGGAACTCTCAGCCTGCCAGGCTAGGCAGAGGACAAAAAGAAGCATGACCTGAACTTTTCAAAGGTGAGAATATACTGCATCATGGAATTTGAAAAGTAGAGACTAATGGATTGTTCCTGAATGTCAACTGGTCTTATGGATAAGTCAGGATTCTCCAGTGATATTTTTTGGCTCTGTTTCCCCTCCCAAATATCCTGCTGAATAGTAATTCCCAATCTTTGGGGAGGAACCTGGTGGGAGGTGACTAGATTATGGGGGTGAATTTCCCACCTTGCTCTTCTTGTGATAGTGAGTGAGTTCTCAAGAGTTCTGATGGTTTAAAAGTGTGTGGCACTTCCCCCTTAGCTCGCTCGCTCTCCCATTCCACCAAGTGAAGAAGGTGCATGCTTCCCCTTCACTTTCCGCCATGAATGTAAGTTTCCTGAGGCCTCCCCACCCATGCTTTCTGTATAGCCTGCAGAACTGTGAGCCAATTAAAACCCATTTATTTATAAATTACCCAGTTTGGGGTAGTTCTTTATAGCAATGTGAGAATGAACTAATACATTCAGATAAAGAGAACTAACAGGATATAAACAAAATAAATAAAATACAATATGCACATTTATTATAAGAAATTGTCTTATGCAACTATGAAGGCTGGGAAGTCCCAAAATCTGTAGTCAGCAAATCTAAAGACCCAGGAAAGCCCATGTGTAGGTCCAGTCTGAGTCTGGAGGCCTGAGACCCAGAAGAGCCAAAAGTGTAAGTTCCAGTATAAAAGAAAGCAAGCTCAAGACCTAAGAAAAGCCAATGTCCAAGTCCAAAGGCCAGAAAACATCAATGTCCCAGGTCAAGAAGTCAGGCAGGAGGAGTTTCCTCTTACTCAGGCTTTTTATTCATTCAAGTCTTCAGTTGATTGAATGAGACTCACCCACATTAGGGAGGGTAATCTGTGTTACTCAGTCTACCAACTCAAATGGGAATGTCATTCAGAAATGCCTTCAGTGACATATCCAGAATAATGTTTAGCCAAATGTCTGGGTACCCCATGGCCCAGTCAAGTTTACACATAAAATTAATCATCATAACTTAGAACTCCTTTCTACCAGCTCTCCTACTGTGGCAGCACCAACTACTATGAATAGGAATCCCATGAGGATCTCCCAGCTAAAATGCACATAGGATCTCTTCTAGAACTTCACCCAGAATGCAAACCTACTGCTTCAGCAAACTGTTGCTGCTGCCACGATGCTATATGGAAGCTCATTTTGACATTAAGCTCCTTGAAGGAGGGGGCCATATCCTTTTTATTATTATATTGTCTCATTTCTCTTTATGTCATTCACAGTACCAAGATAGGGCCTGGCACACAATAGATTTTTTTTTTTCTAGAACTAGCTTCTATTTCTCCTTTTTATGTACCAGGACTATAGCCACCTTAACCACTATCTATTCCTTGGACATCTCTATTTCTTTCCTACTTCCTTGCTTTTGCCCAAGTTGTCCTCTGGGCCTGGAATGTCCTCCTCACTTCTACACGCTCTGCTCCTTCCTATCTTTCACAGCCCAGCTTAGACATCACTTGGTGACTATAATGGTTTCTACTATTCGTAAGTTCATCCGGTCAGTGGTGGTACAACATCATCTCATCTCAGCTGTCAGTATTAAGCATTGAGTGTGCCCTGGGCCAGACTTAGTTCTTCACACTGGGTTGTGAGCACTAGGTTGCAACCCTGAAAATTTCGTATTCCTCCTTGCCTGATGAGTCCATTTTTCTGTGGTTCTAAGTAAATGAATACTCATAGGGCTTAAAATTTACCAACCTGTGAAGGTATAGGCCAGATGAGACCAGGGTGGCCATGAGGAAGGAATAACCAACTCCTCTAACATTGACACAAAGCCTCTTAAAGAAAGAAAGCACTCTGTTTCTCATCTAGTGCAGCTCCAGGCAGGAAGCTCTGGAAAGGTAGCACCGAAAGCTTCTACAAAGTTAGTTAAATCAAGGCCAGAGATGGCCCTGCAGCCTCAACTTTCACAGGGATAAGAAAATTCTACAAAGTCATTGCATGGACCTGGTGCAGCCTTGGCAACAGATACCCTTTACGTACTTGGGTGAGTGGGCGATTATGTTAACTTTCCAGAGGCCACAAGTACTCCAAGGCATGGTATATGAGCTGCTGCCGTGAAACTGCATATTCTTGGAACAGTGTTAAAGGCCCTAGGTGCGTGATATTTTGGTAAGTCCTCAAGTATACCAAACTGCAAAAGGCACCTTAATTAATTGTCATTTATGCCAAACCATTTACCAGCATGACTTCATTAGCAGCAACAGACACGACTCTGGGAAACAGAGAGAAAGAGCTCCTTCCTTTCAGGTGACTGTGGTACCTGTGACCCCACTCTGACTGTACTGCCTATGCGGGCCATTGAATAGGGAATTGGAGTTGGCCTGAGACAGCTCATTTGTAATGACTAGAGCATTAATTATAAGTAATTTGGAAAATGTCTTAGTGACTGTGTGTGCATTGAGTGGAACCAATTAAACTGGTGAAGTCAGGCACTTAGGAGGCCAGGCAGCTGCTTCATGGATAGCTCAGGTAAAAAAGGAGCTGCGAGGTGTCCACCCAGGGCCTGGTAGTCCTGTGTTAGCAAGAAGTATCCTCTCAGAGAGGCTGCCTCCAGCTGAGCTGGTGATGTTAGGCAGAATGGAATGAAGCATAGAACGGGGGCTGAAAGGACAAGAAAGCCCCCATTATTTTTGCAAAATTAAACATACTTCTAAGAGTACTAAGGCTATTACTAGCCATTATCTGACATTAATATACAGAAGCTGATAATGAAAAGGGGTTGATGATCTCTTATACTAAATCAGCATATACTTAAGCAATACACTTAAAATGAAGGCAAGGCAATTAGCAAATCAGGTCAAATATAGATGTAGTCAAGCTAACTCGTGATGGAATTTTTGAGCCTCTCTTGTGATCCACTGGGTTCCCTCCTGGGGAAAGCAGGTATTCAATAGGTAAATTCTTCTTCAATGTTGTTACCTACGGAACAAACTTATGACCTTCATTCCTCACATCCAAAAATCTCCAAACTTCTAAGACATCATATTTCAACTAAATTTCTATTTTGTTTTCCTTTTGTGGTATTTCTTTGGTATAAATAATTCGTATCCTATTTTGATGTCTTTTAGTTTTAAATCTATTTTAGCCCCACACCTCATATGCCTTTGGTTTTCCTTCCTAGCTGTTTTTCCAGTATTTGTCTCCCATAACAGAGGTCAAAAGCATTTTCTTAAAAGGTCTAATTAGTAAATACTTTAGGCTTTGCGTACACTTTGGTCTCTGTCACCGCTACTCAATTCTGCCATTGTAACACAAAAGCAGCCAGAGACAATATATACATGAATAAGCATGGCTGTGTTATAATCAACCTTTATTTACAAAAACAGACGAGGGCAGATTTGGCTTGTGGGCAGTAGTTTGCCAACCCCTGTCCTATAGGAACTGAAAGAAGAGGACAGAGTCGCCTGACAATTAAGCCTGCCAGCCTCTACAGATTTTCCTATGAAAGCACACATTCCTACCCCTGTACCAATTCAAGCAGAGGTAGATGGGCCACTGTAGCACTAACCCTAGGGATAATGCTGGCCCAGAGCTGCTCTGTTACAACAAAGGTGGATCAGATCACTGATCTGCTCAAAGCCCCCAACAGCTTCCCATCTTATGAAGAGTGAAAGGCAAAGGCTCAACCTCATCTGCAACCCCAGTTCCATTGCTCTGTGATCTTATCACCTTCCACTCTCTCCACTTACATGTCTGGCCATTGACTTCCTCATATTCCTCCAGGAAGCCAGCAAGGCTTCTGCTCCAGATCCTTACCCTTATAATTTCCTCCTCCTGGAATGTTCTTTCTCCAAAAATCTGCATGGCTCACTGTCTCACTTCCTTCAGATCTTTACTCAGAAACCACCTTCTTGAGGCTTTTTTTTTTTTTTTTTTTTTTGAGACAGAGTTTTACTCTTGTTGCCCAGGCTGGAGTGCAATGGTGTGATCTTGGCTCACTGCAATCTCCTCCTCCCAGGTTCAAGCAATTCTCCTACCTCAGCCTCCCAAGTAGCTGGGATTACAGGAATGTGCCACCACACCCGGATAATTTTGTATTTTTAGTAGAGACGGGGTTTCTCCATGCTGGTCAGGCTGGTCTCGAACTCCTGATCTCAGGTGATCCACCCGTCTAGGCCTCCCAAAGTGCTGGGATTACAGGCATGAGCCACCACACCCAGCCTCTTGAGGCCTTTTCTGTTCACCCTATCTAGCATTTCACCTGGCATTTCATATCGCCCTTTCTGCTTCATTTTTTTTCCCTAGCCCTTAACAATATTTAACAATATATCTCTATACTTACTTACGCTGTGATTATGTCTATGTCCCTCTACTCCACTAGAACCCAACCTTCTTAAGGGCAAGAATTTTTATCTGCCTTGTTGACTGCAGTATCCACGTTACCTAGAACAGTGTTCAGAAAGTACTCAATCAATATTTGTTAAATGAATGCATCCTGGCCTATATTCCTAAAAGGATCCCCCTTAAACGGAAGCATGCTTAAATTAATGTCATTTCTCTTTTGCCTAAGTACACATTCCTTTCCCCTCTACCCTATGCATATGCCTACCTGGGAAAGATTAGAAATTATCATAGAATTAATGTAAAGAAGAAAAAATGAGATGATATTCAATTATGGAAGTCAAAATGTAGATTGTCAAAGCTCTACCACTGCTGGCAAGCCAGTCAATTATCTTGAGAAAGGATTATCCAAATCTTTTTATCTTCTTTAACACATCAACACCTGATCTCAGTCAGCACCAGGACTCAATCACAAGTGTTTATTCTCTGGTGCAAAGGCCCACTCTGCGAGGTAGAGGCTGTGGCTGAGGGATGTGGAAGAAAATCCCACCCTTTGTTGGATCCTGGGTCTCATGGAAAGGAAGGGGATGAGGCACAGAGAACAGCAGTTCTTCCCCTTCCTCTTTGTGGACTTAGGCTCAGAAACAGAAGGTAAATTAGATAACTTAATAGGAGCACTCATGGGAGGACCATGCATCCTGTTTCTCTTGGAGACTCTGGAAAGAACCCTGCTAACAAGCAGCCTCCCAGCAGCCTGGGTCTTAGCCAGAGGTCATCACTGGCGTGTGGTTGAAGGGAAGCCTGTGTTTAGGTTGACTAAACCACTGCCAGTTCCTGGATGATATGGCTGCTGAGCTGAGAGCCACTGGTGCCCCCCTAGAAAGGTCCATGGCAGAGCAAAATGACCCCACAGGAGGGCCTGGGGGTGGACTTTCTGGCCAGTAGACTGACAGGAGACATGGTGTGAGGCCCAGTAGTAAGATGCCTGTGGCAGCCAAGGTGAGGCCAAGTCAGGCAGGGAGCTCCCCTGGCAGTGTTGGCTGAGACAAGAGAAATGAGCCTGAGTGCACCAGCCACCCACTTCAGTGTCAGAAACAGAGGACCACGCAGACAAGGGACACTGCCAGCCAGCACTCATAGGAGGAAATAGCAGGAGGGCTGGGGAGCGATTCCTCACTGTAGCCGACCATGGCCAGATCCCACCAATCTGGTTTCCTCTCCTTGAGCTCATAGAGAAACTACATTTACTAGCTGCTCTTGCAGTGAGGCTGGGGCCTTGTGACCAGGTTCTGGTAAATGGAATCTGAGCAGTGTTGATGGCCACCGCTTCAGGCCTGGTCATCATCAACCCCATACCCAATTCTTCATCATTCTCTTTCCTCCGCCACAGCAAACACTCAGGTCATGTACTGAGGGAAGAGGGACAGAGAGGGAGATGGATATTTTGATAGAGATTAAAAAAGAGATGAAAAGAGAGCATGAATGATTGTCACCACTTTAAGGAAAGCTACCCTTTCCACATCCAACTGTGACGTGGATGAGAAATAAGCCTTTGCGTTAAGCCACTGAGATTTTTGGAGGGTTGTTTGTTACAGAAGCTAGCATTATTGTTATTATTGTTGTTGTTGTTTGTAGAGATGGAGTCTCACTTTGTTCCCCAGGGTGGTCTCAAACTCCTGGCCTCAAGCTAACCTCCTGCCTAGGCCTCCCAAAGTGCTGGGATTACAGACATAAGCCATTGTGTCCAGCCCTGAAGCCAGCATTATATATCCTAACTTATATGTCTGCATCATTCCAAGTGACGTGCACCCCTCTCCCATATGCCCAAATGCTAGAGGCTTTTTTTTCTCTCTAGGGAGAGATTGAACACTACCTGAAGGGATTATTTAACTTCCCAACTTTCAAAATTGGACTAAGGTTATATCAGACTCGACATGTCCTTAATTTATTTTCCCACTAAGCGGAAGTTCAGGAGAAAAACCAAATTAATCATAGGCAAAAGTGAAATTTCAGATTTAATTCTTTTCACATCTGTGTTAGGTAGGAACTTAAATTTGTGATTCCATTACACACAGTTTGGGAGAAAGGTTTTCACAATAATTCTAAGATTTTGATTCTAGCTTCTAAGAGTCCAATAAGAGAATGTAAATGTTAGGCTCAAGAAAGTATAGAAATAAGGAAATTTGCATAGGGGCTTGAGCAGGAAGAACAAAGTCAGTTTCTCCTACTGTACTCTCAATAGTCAATACAGAAGACTTCTGTAACCTGTAGTCACCCAGAAGGGTGTGGGGATTTTCCCCCCAGCAACCACTAATCTATCAATTCTGCAGCAAATTATTTATTTAGTGGCACCCAGCTGGGTGTCCCCTAATTCAGTTCTAACACTGTCTACCTGGAGATAGTGTCAGATCACACAGGTTGAGGGTTCAGTCCCACAAGGCTCCACTGACTTCTGATGCCAATCACAAGTCCCAGGTTGTCTTACCCATGCTTACCATTGACCGGCTATAAATCAGGGTTCCCGCAACCCCCTCCTTGGATTCTATTAGTTTGCTAGGGTGGCTCCCGAATCAAGGAATCATGTCTACTGGTTTATTATAAATGATATTACAAAGGATACAGATGCAGAGTTGCACAGGGTGCGTATAGGGGAGGGGGCGTGGAGCTTCCATGCCCTCCCTGGGTGTGCCACCCTCCAGGAACCTCCCCGTGTTCAGCTATCCTGGAAATGCTGCCAAGCCTGTCCTTTTGAGGTTTTTATAGACACTACCTGTGTTGCAAGGATTAGGTGTTACATTGTATAAAAATCACGGAACCCAGTGCCTGGTATAGCATACGTGTGCAATGATTACCAGTTAAAACAATAATACAAATTGACAAAAAGGGACACTGAGAGAATTCCAGAAGTATAGAGTTGAAAGAAAACTTTTGTACTCTAAGTCCTACTTCCTGAAAGGATGCCATATTTTCAACACTGAAGGATAAATTTCTCTCTCTTCTAGTCTATATCTGTCTGTCTGTCTGTGTGCTTGTCTTTCTCTCTCACACATACACACACGCACTCCCCATATAACTATTTTATTTGTATTCAAATATGCCATTGCAGTCTTCTGCAAACGTAATCAGATCCTAACTCAGAACCTCACAAACTTCCCATACGACATCACAACCTTGCAAATAGCCTTTTGGGACAAGCTGTAACACCCCATTGGTATCCCATCTCCAATAAAACAAACAACAGGTGTCTCTTCTTCTGAGTGGATTATGAACCCATTTCACCCTAAAGGGACTGATATCACTAAAGATGTATCAGCAGAGAATGGATGACCACTCATGTAGGATGCTGAGAGAGGGAAAATCATACATTTTTTTTCTGACTGGCTTTGACCTTCCAAGCTGTAAGGAACGATCTATTCCTACAGACCCAGCACCATTAGTTTCTGAAATAAAGGGCCCTCTCCCCATATAAATTGGAACCCACTCCCCAAATAAATTGTGTCAATTGTGTCTAGAACAAACTTCACTGCCAGGTGCCCCCTGGACACTGGGCTGCAATCCCCTTACTGTCCCCAACTATGCATGGGCAGCATCTCTGTGTCCTTCTAGTCTGGTCCTTGCTTCTTCATTCCATTTCCAACATCCCCTTGGAAGCTCTAACCCTAGCCCAACTGACCAGAAACTTCCCCTTAGTTTACCCTTGCCAGCCCTTTCCCTGGAGCTAGACCTGGCTTTACAGCCTCAACACAAACTTGAACAGATCTTCTTGAAAACAACCTACATATCTACAAATACAAGAATCATTGCCTCTACAAGAAGGCCCTCTACAGTGCCATGTTCTCATGGCCTTGGATTTTACTCCAGTCTAGATCCACCCAGAGTTCTGATTCTTTTTCTTCCTGGCCTGCAGCCTTGGGTGATGCCCCTTCCCTGACAAGAGGCACCAGCATATTCCACCACTTCGAGAAAACCGACAGAAATGATCACTGAGCAGCTGAGCGTGACAGACCCTGGGCCACACACTTTCATCAGTTACTTGGGGCTTCTCCTTCTTTTAGAGTATGTGATGCCTTTGTAAATCTCAAAAATATTTCTTACTTCTACATCTATGACACTTTTAGTATTTGCTAATTATGAAATATGTAATGACAAGCAGCTACTATGAATTTAGTTATGCCTTTAAATGACTTTTTACTTGTATTAACCCCAATGGTGTACACACACATAACACATACACATGCACACACACACATATTTGGAAATAAGTTGTACAAATAAGAACAAGGCACATTTTTTACTCCTGCAAACAGTGCTTAGCACACTGTATATAAATTAAACTTCAGCCCTCCCAGGTGACTATATCTCATAGGTACATTCTTTACCACTAAGGTAGGGAATCTGGTGAGTGCTGAGGGCCTCGATTTGTTTTTCCACCACCTTCCACTTGACATCTGACATTTCCTTGCATATACCTAGTTTGTGCACAGTTCCCTCCTCACCAACTGACTTTACCCCTTCCTCAGTCCTCAAGAAACAATGTGAAAAATGCAAGCAACCGTGACCTTAATGCAGAGAAAAATATTATTATACTTTAACCTATAAAAAATAAAGGATTTATCATTTACAAATTTTGATGTTTTTATTATTACTTAGATGGAATTAAAAACTTCCTAAGTGATAGTGGCACACTAGCATATTATGGTAATAAACTGAAAACCCTTGACTAGATGATCTTCATAATGATAAAACACCACGTATCAGTTGTTACTTTTGGCCAGGCAGTTTATGTTCAGTAGCTCACTTAATCTTCAATAAATTCCTATGAGGAATTTACCAGAGAGGAAACTAAGACTCAGCTCCAAATCCTAGGGTTAGTAAGTGGCTTCAACCCCAGTTCTTTCTGTACAAAAACCAACACAGTTAATCATTATTCTCGATGACTTGTTTTTCTAGAGTAGTCCTAAAAGGAAGGAAGCTTTAACCACTGCTAAATTATTTTGAGTTTTGGCCATTGCTCCCATTATTGATATAAAAGGCTCAGGGAGGTCAGCTATCAAGATTCTGCCACTGATTAAAGCAAACAAACAAACAAAGCACATCTGGGTTCCAACTGGGCTATTCAATAGGCCCATGTGTTCTCTGCCCATTTATTTCAATAACTTGAATGCTGAATGCAGTATGTGTAGTAATTAGGATCTCAGACTCTGGAGCCAGACTGCCTGATTTCAAGCCCTGACTCCACCCTTAACTAAGAAAACCTGGACAAGTTGTCACTGGACCTCTTCATGACTAAGTTTTTCCTCATCTGTGTGATGAGAAGAATAATCTTATAATTATATGAATTAATATATTTAAGTATTTAGCACATTGCCTTACACATGGTAGGAACTATGTATGTATTTGCCATTATTTCTTGATGTGAAGAAATACCTTGCATTGAATATATTTCACTTGCCATCTTGAAATAAAAGAGAGCCAATAAAAATAGATGGGGGGGTGGGGGGCCGGGCGCAGTGGCTCACACCTGTAATCCCAGCACTTTGGGAAGCCGAAACGGGAGGATCACAAGGTCAGGAGATCGAGACCAGCCTGGCCAATGTAGTGAAACCCCATCTCTACTAAAAATACAAAAATTAGCCAGGCATGGTGGTGTGAGCCTGTAGTCCCAGCTCCTCAGGAGGCTGAGGCAGGAAAATTGCTTGAATCTGGGAGGCAGAGGTTGCAGTGAGCTGAGATTGCACCATTGCACACCAGCTTGGGCGACAGAGTGAGACCTCGTCTCAAAAAAAAAAATAGGGGGATAAAGGAGTTAACATCCAATGGCCACCATCCATCTGACAGGACTCGTACATCCTTTAAACACTCAGCGAGATGAGCCTTACTATCCCTATCGACAGAGTCATCTGAATCCACATGCACATCAAGCATTAGCTGTACCCAGAGCTGCATGAGAAGTAGATGGTGGAGGATGGAAACCAAGTTATCTGACTCTAAGGTTTGACTTCTACCTACAAAAACATGATACAATCTTCTGTAATTTTAACCAAATTCAATGACATTTGGGATTAGAACTGAAGAGAAAAATCTCATGAGGAAAAACATGAGGTTCTTTGCCATTTAATAATACCAAAATGAGCACATCACCGTTAGCATTTGCAATGAATTTAAACTCTTCCTTTATACTGGATATTGTGTAACATGAACTACAAATGAGGATTTTACAAAATGCTGTGTTCAGGGTTGGCTGTGGGATGAGTGTGAATGACCTCTACCTCCAGTAACTTATAGTTTAGTATAAGAGATGACACATAATAATTAATTCATTTTGGGTTTAACACTGGATGAATATGAGAAGGATTATCCCAGATGGAGAGGAAACTTCAAGCAAAGACATTGAGGAGGAAAGAAAAAAGCAGGGTGAATTTGGAGGGTAGTATGTGGTTCTCTTCACAAGGCTGGACTGAGAGCTAGCATTTCTTCAGTTCAGGTGGGAACTCAGGTGGGCAAGTAGAAGTTGGGAAGATGTGGATTTCTATCTGGCCACAGACACCAATACACAGAAAGGTCAGGCAACTTGCTGAATATTTCAATAAATTAGCACCTCCAAGACCTGCAGGTTCTTCACACCAGAGGCTCTGGGACCTCAGTCATTCCTCCATCAGCATCATCCAGGGTAGCCTCGAGTAGGGGTCTCCACTCACGCAGGGGTCAGCCCATTTGTCATCTACAGCAATTAGAAGGCAGTTGTACTAGTTCCCTAGGGCTGCTATAACAAAGTACCACAACCTGATGACTTAAAACAAAAGAAATCTATTCTTCCACAATTCTGGAGGCCAGGAATCTTAGGTTTCTCCAGGGCCATGCTCTGGAGGTGACCCCTTCCTTGCATCTTTCAGCTTCTCTTAGCTCCAGGTGTTTCCTGGCTATGGTAGCATCACTCCAGTCTCTACCTCCATCTTCACATGGCACTCTTCTTTCTGTCTCCCTGGGTATTCTCCTCTTCCTTAAGGGCACCAGTCATTGAATTTAGGGACTGCCTGAAATCCAATATGATTGCATCTCAAGATCCTTAATGAAGACCTCTGCAAAGACTATTTGTAGATAAGGCCACATTCCCAGGTGGCAGGTGAACATGAAAATTTGGGAGACACTTTACAACTTATTGCAGCAGCCATGAGACCACACATGCAGGAGCCAAACATCGGGCTCTGAGGAGCCAGCTTCGTGGCCACCTCTGCTGCCACTGCCAAGCTGTCAAGCATAGCCAATGGCAGCCCTCAGGTGCCTACTCTTGGCCCCACAGGACCTGAGAGTTCACCCACATTTCCGTTCTGCCTGCCTTAGCTCTCTCCATGGATCAGGTGGGCATATGGCAAAGTTCACATTTTGAAGTGAGAATAACATTTATTTTGAACCCATGCTCCACTGAACAAGAGTCTGAGAAGGCAGCATGTACGTCCTGCTTCCCAGAGGGCTGCCCTTGACTCATGGAAAAACACTCAGAGGAAAATGCCGAGCTAGAGTACCATGACCTCCCATTAGATGCGCTGGCTGGAAAACATGACACACAAAGATAAGGAGTAGGAAGGCCGCAGGGGAGCAGGCCTCGGGGGCACCATGCTGCATCTCACATCAGCTCAAATGACATAGACCGCAGGCCCAAGGAAGCAGATCTTTCTTACTGGTGACTGAGGGGTGGCATTGACCCAGAAACAGGTGGGTGGGCAACTCAAGAACACAGGTCTCCAGAGGGACAATGGGCTCAGGAGAGCTGATTCTGCACCCAACCCCACACATCTCAGCATTTTATCTTTCTCTAATTGTTTAAAACAGGACTTTTGAAACTGAGCCTGTGGTTAGACTTCCAGCAGGGCAAGAATCCCCTGATAATGAATGCCAATTGTTTCCTATCATCACCCAGGCATTTTTCTGAGTATGTGGTTGATAGTGTTTGTCAGTATTCATAGGGGTCTCTCATTCCAAAATGGTTAAGAAACACGGGATTTCCTGTCTTCTCTTTGTGTATTTAAAATTTCATCGGGGAGCTTTTGTTCTCTTGTATCCCAAATGCAACACTAGAGGTTAGGGAAGAGGTGTTAAATAGACTCTTAACTTGTTGATTGATTTAGATTTAAGACCAGGCAGTCAAAGATCTTGAGTCACCTTCCCTATTTTATCACAGATCTTTTGGGGGGAAGATCTTATGTAAGTTACTGAGACCAGAATGATGAAGTTAAGATATTGGCTCTCTACAGGATGTGCCATTCTATAAAAAGGGACTATTCACAGAGCAGACATTGACATTTTGGGCCTGGCTGGTCAGCATTTAATGGAACTCTTGTAGGCTGCTGCAAAGGAGGCTGTGACTGTCAGTCTGTTTACTGTGGAATCTGGCTGATCTTCTCTAACAAGACTTACTGAAACATTCGTTGATTCTTGTGTTGCTTCAATGTTCTAATAGAAAAACTGTCCTGACTTGGTAAGCTCAGGGAGAAAAAGGCTAACTCTATGAAGGATAAAGCCACTTGCCCTACCCATGACTTGTTTTTGTATGGCCCGTAAATGAAAAATGATTTCTACATTTTTAAAAGATTGTAGAAAGCAAAACAAAATTAAAATACCCCTCCTCTCCACCACACACAAAAAAAGAATATGCAATAGCAAAGAATAAAATATTTACCTTCTGCACATTTACAGGAAAACTTTGCCAATCCCTGGCCTATATTATAATAAAATGAAACCTGGTTCCCAACCACAGCTTCAAAAATTGAGATAGTGTAGAACAGGGGTAAATCACACTTCATCACCATGGATGTGACTGTGTCTGAAACCTGGCTCCAACACCCACTGGCCAATGACCCTAGACCTCAGCCTCTTTAACTGCAAAATGGGGATAATGAAAATACCTCCTCAGTGGATTACTGATAGAATGACACAACAATTACATATTTATGTATTTATTTATTTATTTTGAGACAAGTTGTCGCTTTGTCACTCAAGCTGGAGTGTAGTGGCTCCATCTTGGCTCACTGCAGCCTCTACCTCCCAGGCTCAAGTGATCCTCCCTCCTCACCTCCTCAATCAGCTGGGAGTACAGTCATGCATCATCATGCCCAGCTAATTTTTGTATTTTTTGTAGAGATGGGGTTTCATCGTGTTTCTCAGGATGTTCTCGAACTCCTGAGCTCAAGTGATCTGCCTGCCTCAGCCTCCCACAGTGCTGGGATTACAGGCATGAGTCACCATACCCCACCCAATTACGTTTTTAAGCACTTAATATATAAGTATTTAATACAACTAATAAACTCAGTAAGTTCCAGTAGTATTTAAAATGCATTTTAAAAAAAAACATTTTTAGGCAAGGAGAGGAAACTAGACTAATAAATCCTATTCATCTAAAAGTGTTCTGAATGTTAGAGAGACCTCAAAATACTGTCTAGCTCATCTCTCAGCCTTGAAGCTGATATACTGTAATTCAAACTTTATTGATGAGAAAACTGACTTCAGAGAGGTCCATTGACTTACCAAAAGTTACAGTTTTCTACATCCTACACTAGAATGCCTATTGTGAAAGGGAGACATTTTGCACTCTCTACTCATTCAAGATATATTCATTCATTCAACAAACATTTAAAGATCAGCTACCACACTCCCAGTACAGCATGTGGCATTAGAGATGAGAGAGAAAGAGAGACCCTGCCCTCAGAGAGTGAGCAGAACTAAAGATTTGGCAAACAAATAAGTGAAAAATATAGAATTCTACAGATGCTAAAATAGAAGCCTATATAAAAAAAAGTGGAGAAGACCAAGATTCTAGGTTGAGGAGATGCTCACAAGGCAGAGGGGGCAAGCAGGATAGGCAAAGGGCCAGGTATATCAAATAATCCAGCACGTTCTAAGAACTGCAGGGAGTTTTGCACACAGTGAAGGGCCCATGATGAGGGCAAGTAGGGACCAGAGTGTAACAGGCCATACATGGTATGCTGAGAAGGTTGAAACTCATTCTTCAGCAACTATTTTGGAATTTTAAGCAAGGGAAAGATCAACATGGTTTGCACTTCAGAAGAATCACCCTAGAAGCAGCCCAATGTGTGATGGATGCCAGAGGAACACACTGGAAGTAGGGAGATCAATTAGGGGTTGATATGGTTTGGCCGTATCCCCACCCAAATCTCCTCTTGAATTGTAGCTCCCACAATTCCCATGTGTTGTGGGAGGGACCCAGTGGGAGGTAACTACTGAATCATGGGGGAACATCTCTCCCGTGCTATTCTTGTGACAGTGAATAAGTCTCACGAGATCTGATGGTTTTATAAAGGGGAGTTCGCTGCACAAGCCCTCTTCCCTTGTCTGCCACCATGTGAGATGTGCCTTTTGCCTTCCACCATGATTATGAGGCCTCCCCAGTTACGTGGAACTGTGAGTCCATTAAACCTCTTTTTCCTTATAAATTACCCAGTCTCAGGTTATGTCTTTATCAACAATGTGAAAATGGACCAATATAGGGGTCTATCACAAAAGACCAGATAAGAGAAGAACAGCCCGAGCTGGGACAAGAGTGACTTATAATGTCAGGAGAGAAGAGGGAGAGAAACGAGTGAGGCTGGAGGCAGGGTCTACAGAATTCCATAGCCACTTAGATGGTCACATGGTAAAGCAGAAGAAAGAGCAAGGATGGGTCTTGGATTTCTAGCTGAATGAGCAGATTTTGGGGTCATTTATTCAAAAGAGAGATAAAAAAGAAACGATCCTGTTTTGAGGAAAGATCACCACTGATTGTGTTTGGGACATGATGGAGTTGAGCAACCTGTGAGGCATCCAGGTATCTCGTATCTGGGATATGAGACTGGGGCTCAGGCTGAAGATCCAGGCTGGAGACACAGACACATGAGGAACCAGGACATAGGAAATAGGTAGAAACCTGAACACAGATGCAATTCTCAGATCAAGTGAGAACCAAAAAAACACAAGAGTTTAAGGAGTAGAAAAAGGAAGAGAACATGAAAGACCATCACACAATTGCAGTTGAGAAGAAAATGTCAAGATGATGAAGAAAACCCAATGAAACAGTCATCTCCAAAGCCAAGGGAGGACAGGGGTTCAGAAAGAAAGTAGTGGACAACTCAAAGTTTACCTGCTGCACTAAGAACTGAAGAGTCCTTTGGATTTGAAAACAAGGAAGTCATTAGCGAGATTTATGAGAGCACTTTTCTCAGAGCAAATTAGCTTAGGAGCGTGACTGCAGGAAGCTGAGGGATGAACAGGAGGCTGAGCAGGTGAAAGCAACCAGAGGAGATGCCCTTCCGGGGGCTCGGTGATGAGGGATGCCTGGAAAGGCGGGGGTGGAGAGAGATGCAGGACAAAGCTGCTATTGTTTCTGCCTTTTTCATTGTTGTTTTGCCTTTTTTAATTGTTTGTTTAAGAGACACACGAAAATTTTCTCAAGGTTTGGGAACTGTATCAGAAGTGAGAGAAATTTTGGAAATCTGTAAGCAAGAGGAAAAAAACAGTGGATAAGGCTTACAAAAAAAAAGAGAGAGAGGATAGGTCAAGAGTACAGGTAAGTCAGGCCTGGTGGCACATGCCTGTAGTCCTAGCTACTTGGGAGGCTGAGGCAAGAGGATCCCTTGAGCATAGGAGTTGGAGGCTGTAGTGTGTTATAAACACACCTGTGAATAGCCACTGCACTTTAGCCTAGGCAACATAGTGAGTCATCATCCCCTACTGCTTCGTACAGACAGAGGAGGGACTAGGAGAACTGATTGAGGCAGGTGCAAATCAACAGAAGTAAGAGTCATGGTAATAATAATAATAATAATAAGCACTCTGATATACCAGGCACACTTTACATACATTCAAAAATATTGCACACTTAATATATGTTTACATATGTTAACTTATTTCATGTTCTCAAGAATTCATAAAGCAATACCTTTTTTATTCCCTATTTATAAATGAGGAAACTGAGACACAAAGAGGCTAAACAACATGCCCCCAGTCACGGGTTAGTAAGTGGTGGTTGTGGGATTCCCATACACATATGTTTGTAAAGTCAAGGCACGATACCTAACAGCCTCACAGCCTCAGTTATTTCTGTGATGAGCAAGCAGGATCACCAGCCAAGAATAATGTGGGGTGCGTGTGTGCCCTCCTGGTGGGCTGGTTGGTGACAGCAGTGATGAGGTGGGTGACTTGAGGCCAGTGAGGACATGTTAACCCCTGCTTATGGGAGGGGACTTCCCTGAGGCTCAGCTTCAGTTAGAGGCCAAGGTTAAGAGATGCCCCTCAGCAGCAGTCAGTAGTCAGGACCAGATTAAAAAGTGCACGGCAGATGAAAATACCCACACTTCATGCTGAAACATTTCCAGGGATCTACATAGCTCTCAGGATGAAAACTAGAGCCCTTGCCTATGGCCCACAAGGGCTGTGGGATGGCACCTGTCTCCTTAGCCTCACAGGCTCACCCTGCCCCATCCCCAACCCCTATTCAGGGCCTTGCAACTGAACTTGCCTCTGCCACGTGTGCTTTCTTTCCACTCTCCTGTCATCTCCTTTCATCCATTCTAATGTCAACAAAACATTACTCCCTAGGTCGATACTCTCCATATTCATTTCTAACAGTGCTTTAATATTCCAGGCTCCAGAGCCACACTTCTTGACATTCTATCCTGGCTCTGTCACCCACTGCTTATAAGGCTTTGAATAAGTTACTTCACCTGTCTGTGCTATTAAATGGGGGTAAGAACAGAGCCTGCCTCAAAGTGTTATTAAGAAAATTAAATAAGTTAAAGTATGTAAGGTGCATTGCACAGTCCAAGTATTCCATAGGTACTAAATGAATTGAAACTGCACCTGCTTTTTAACACTTGTTTCCCCACAGTAGCATCTATCACTATTTTAATTGACTAAATAATTGCTTAATCAATTCTTTAATTCCTGACAGCTCCAATCTAATGGAATAGAAGATCCCTGAAAGCCTGGGGTCGTCTATCACCTTCTTCTTCATATTCAAAGGGAATGGCAGAAACTAAGCCACCAAAAAGTATTTGTGGAGAAAATTGAATTTATTTGACTAAGAATACTGAGGGGGATAGAGGGTGGTTGATATGATGTGACAAGGGGACAGGACTAAAGAGGAAGTGAAGTTTGAAGGGGACAAGGTCACTCTGGAGAGCACTTTAGTGAAAGCAAAAGAGGAAGCAAGTTCACATAATAAGAAGATTTTATCAGGGATTGAGAAGTATTTGAAGTTTACCACCCTATTCAAAAAAAAAAAAGAAAAAAAGTAATTTGTACTAACGATATGATGGTGAGCTAGATTGTTGAAGTGAATTAGAGCAGGCATCTTCTCATTCATGTGCCCATCTGGAATGGTAAGAAGCATAAAGTCTCTAAAGTCAGGCAGAACGGGGTTTAGAGTCTCTGCTCCTCCCTACCTCTGTAAGTATGGGAAAGTGCCAGCTTCAGTTCTAAAATGGGGAAGATAATACCACCTTGCCAAGTTTTGATAGATGAATGAAAATGTGTAAATAAAGTTTGAGGGACATAGTAGATATTCAGTAAATGATAGCTGCTCTAACTGTAACAGTGATTATTCATGCAGAGGAGATGTATTCCTGGGTGATTGTATGCAAATCAGTTAATGCTTGAAATGCATGGCTGTGTTTGCCGGATAAAAGAATCTTGTGTTGAAGCCTTTCATAAGACACAAAATCATCTTGTGAAGTAGTGACCCTCCCTTTATTTAATTTGTGTAGATCTTTTACGAATGCTGAAGTATGATAATGCATAATAATGTGACTATATGGTTGGCACCCATGGACAAAACTGTACACCTGTTGCAAAGACCCAGATACCTCATAGGGCAATTACCAAGAGAAAAGTCCCGTTACTTAGTCCAGAGGCTGAAGGACAATAGAACAGTCTTTTCTCAGGTTTGACCTTGAATTGTTACAGCATTTAAGAGGGTAGTCTTGGGTCATGCATTATAAAACCTGGGTTCAAATCTTGACTCCATCATTTACCAGTTTTTGTGGTCTTGAGCCACAGAATTAATTAATCTGTTTGAGCTTTTGTTTTTTTATCTGTAAAATGGGATTAATAGTACTCACTGCATAGGATTGTTGGAAAGAGGAAATAAAATAATGCACGTAAACCACTTTGCAGAGTGTCTGTAACACATTAGAAGCTAATACAGGGCAGCCTTTTTTTCCTCATTCGTGAACCCCCATGCCCACATGGATATAGACTGAAACGTAAGAAGTAAGAATCCCAGTCAAAGAGCCATCTGAGTTTGCAAGACCTTTGGTAAAAGAAGATATAACCTTCAGCCTTTGGGGCAGGCAGGATGTGGTAGCATCAGGAACCCATACGAGAAGTGAGCCAGGATATTTAATATATGTCTCATATTTCCTGGGCTTCTTTCACTCTTGCTTTCTCTTACTATTCAGTTCAGTAAAGTCTTTCAAAAAGATCCATTTTGCTTGGGTCAAGACAGGGCCTCCAAGGAAGGCATTTAGGCTTAGATTGGGCCAAGGAAGAAAGGCAGAGCAAGTCAGCCACGTGGGTTGTTATCCCAGGAGATCCCGGAGCCAAAGAACCCCAGGCATTGGCCACATGAGCAGCACTTGGCCCGGGGCCTCTCCTGCCTGGAGATTCCCCCTCCAGAGCTCATCTTCAGGGCTTTGGGTTTGAATTCATAAGGGTGATTCTTCCACTTGCACCTCTCCAGTTACCTTCTAAGTAAACTTAACCATTTCACAGAGATGGTTTACTAAGACGCACTGGAGTTTGCCCAGGGCTTCTAGTCTCATCACCTAATCACCAGACGAATAAAATGAGGAAAAAGAAGCATCAAGCCCATTATCTACAGAAGGCCAGAATGGGTGATAAAAGTCTCGCTGAAGCTCCCTCAGTTCTTCCCCTCCCCCTGTTACAGTAGGTTTGGCAGCTAAGCTTCCAAATGCAGCCCACATCTCCAGCCCCAGCAGTGCTGGGGAGGGGGCAGGCGAGAGTGCTCTTTCTCAGTGCACATTAGCCAGCCTTTTGTTGGGGCTGCCTCTCCGAAGACCCCTTTGGCCAGAGTAGTCTCTCAGAAGCTGGAAGATGGCCCAGCCAGGGCCTCGGGCAACACATTCATGCTCTGGCCCCAACCTCCCCTGCCCTACTCCCCAGGTTTAATTTCATTTTAATCAGAAGTATAGAGAAGGACATTTTCAGCAGATCAAAAGGACATAGCAAGCTTAAAAGAAACACTGTCACAGGGCAGGAGCAGGAGATGTGATACCCACAGAGAAACACAAGCTGCTTTCTAGGATGCCTTGGGGGCTGGGAAACAGTGGTCTGAAGTTATCTTTCAGAGATGCAGAACTCTGCAAACAGACTCAGTGCAGTTTGGAACTCGGGGCAATATTGCCCTGAGTGAGTTGGTTCTGCAGAAAAGAGCCAATGCTGGGAGCACTGAGCTCATCAACTCCATAATCCTCCCACCATCCTTGTCTCCTTTTTCTAACCATTATGCAGCTCGCTTTCCAGACATAGGAGAAGACTAAGGCATTGCTGCATTGTCTGTGTACTTCAGGGATATATTGTATATTTGCAAAGATCAGACTATGAAAATTCATGAATAATATTAACTTATTCAGAAGTGCAACCATCCAGAACACAGGCATAAGCAAAGAAGAACTCTGAATCATATGTGTCTGCCCTAAACCAGGGAGGATTCTGGGCTACTGGTAATTATCTATGTCTTGATGTAAGTGATGATTACATGGGTATTTACTTTGTAAAAGTTCATGGAGCTTTGCACCTATGATTTGTCCATTTGACTCTGTATTATACATCATTTCTTTAAAAAATTTGCAGAAAAGCTCCTGCCCTGAACGACAATTATAGGAAACCCCCGACATATCCTCCTTCAGAGCCTATTTACTCTTGCTTTACATAAAATTTAAGCAAAGTGAGTTATTATAATTTCTTGGCCGTTAACAGTTGTCAATGGAAGTTACTGGAGGTAAAGAGGGAGCAGTGGTAGATTTTATCAGTCTCATGTACATGGACAACGTGAAAAGTCTGGCATAAACAGGAGGGTAGAGAGAATAGAAAGAAAAAAAACATAAAAATCAGACACAAGATGACACAAAACAGAACCACATCAGGCTTCTCAGCATAGAAGCAAATGGTTCTATAAAACATCAAAGTCCTAAGACAGCATTAAAATCCAACCTCCTCAGGAATTCAAGGCTGCAGTGAGCCATGATCACACCACTGCACTCCAGCCTGGCCAAAAGAGCAAGATCCTATCTTTAAAAAAAAAAAAAAATCTAGTCTCCCTGCCTAGCCACATGGCCCTGGGTAAGTCACTTAACCTCTCTGATCAAGAAATGAGAATTCTCATTTCTGAAATTGAATTAATAATAATGCCTATCTTGTCAGGTTGTTTTGAAAATTAAATAAGTGTTTGTGTGCAATAGACACTCACAGATTGCTAGTTCTAGTATTATCTCAATATTTGGACACATTCTAATAGGGGAATAAAAATTCAACCAACTATCCTAAATGTTGTGCCATGGTTGATTCTCTAGGAGACATTAAGAACAAAACATGTCCCTTGCTTTCAAGCAGCTTACAATCAAATGGCAACAGCACGTAAAAACAAGTAGCTCAAATTCAACTCAGAATATGACAAACATTTTGAAAAGGGTACTCCACAGAAGGAAAAAGATGCATATAGCACTTACTATACACCAAACATTGCATTAAGTATTTCACATATATTAATCTTTGTGACAACACAATGAAGCAGATAGTATTGTTATCCCCACATTTAGCAGCTGAGAAAACTGGGGGATAGGGAAGTTAAACAATTTCCCCAAAATCATTAAGTTACAGAGCCCTCAATCCAGGCAGTCTGGTTTAAGAGTTGTTGCCATTAGCAATATATTTCATCTAGACTAGGAAATTATGTAATATATTTTAAAATTTATTTAAAATAAAGTAAGAAGTGTCTGAGTAAGGGCCTGAAAAGTCTTCTTATAGGTAAGTACCAGAAATCAAAAATATTATTCTTTTACTTATTAATCAGTTTTATTGAGGTATAATTTACATATAACAAAATATACCGATTTTAAGTGTGCAGTTCAGTTAGCTTTGACAAATGTATACTCTGACATATTTACAACCCCCAAAAAAGATATAAAAGAATTCCATCAGTCCCAAAACTTCCTTCATGTTCCATTGAAAAGTAGTCCCTGCCACTCCCAGACCGAGGTAACCACTGATCAGTTTTCTCTCAGGATATATTAGTTTCGACAGCTCTAGCATTTCATATACATAAAATCATACCATATGTGTCTTTTGTGTCTCTTTTTGTTAGCATATTTTAAGATTCGTCAGTGAGGCTGGGTGAGGTGGCTCATGCCTGTAATCCCAGCACTTTGGGAGGCCAAGGTGGGCAGGTCACCTGAGGTCAGGAGCTCGAGACCAGCCTGGCCAACATGGTGAAACCCCCGTCTCTACTAAAAATACAAAAATCAGCCAGTCATGGTGGTACCCGCCTGTAATCCCAGCTACTCAGGAGGCTGAAGCAAGAGAATCACCTGAACCTGGGAGGCGGAGATTGCAGTGAGCCAAGATCATGCCACTGCACTACAGACTGGATGACGGAGCAAGACTCCATCTCAAAAACAAAAGAAAAAAAATTCGTCAATGCTATTGTGTATATCAGTAGTTCATTTCTTCTTAATATTGAGTGGAATTCTATTGCTTAAATATATTATAATTGTTTCACCCATTCACCCTTGTATTAGTCTGTTCTCTACCTACTATAAGGACTTATCCGAGATTGGGTAATTTATAAAGGAAAGAAGTTTAATTGACTTACAGTTCCACAGGTCTGGGGAGACTTCAGGAAACTTACAGTCATGGCAGAAGGGGAAGCAAGCACATCCTCCTTCACATGGTGGCAGAAAGGAAAAGAATGAGTGGTCAGCAAAGGGGGAAGCCGCTAATAAAACCATCAGATCTCGTGAGAACTAACTCAGTATCATGAGAACAGGGTGGAGGAAACCTCCCCCATGATTCAATTATCTCCACCTGTTCCTTCCCATGACAGGTGGGGATTATGGGAACTACAATTCAAGATGAGATTTGGGTGGGGACACAGGTAAAACCTATTACCACTTGATGAACGTTTCGATTGTTCCCAGTTTGGGGCTACTATAAATAAAGTTGTTGAGAATATCCAGGTATGAATCTTAGTAAGGACATATTTTCACTTCTTTTGAGTAAATACCTCAGAGTGAAACTATTGAGTCCTGTGTTAAGTATATGTCTATTTTAATGAAAAACTGCCAAACTGTTTTCTAAAGTTATTGGATCATTTCACATTCCCATCAGAAACATATGAGAGTTCAAGTTGCTCCACAACCTCATCAACACCTGGGATTGTCAGATTTAATTTTAGCTAATTGGCTTAGTATATGATATATACTGTGTTGCAGTTTTCATGCTGCTGAGCATATTTTGATGTGCCTATAGGCCATTTACACATATTTTTGTGAATAAAATTTTTGATCTTTTTTAATTTCCAATTTTTATTTCAAGTGCAGGGGTACATGTGCAGGATGTGCAGGTTTGTTACATAGTTAAATATGTGCCATGGTGAATAGCCACACAGATCATCCCTTCACCTAGGCATTAAACCCAGCATCCATTAGCTATTCTTTCTGAGGCTCTCCCTCCTCCTACCCCTGACCCTTCAACAGGTCCCAGTGTGTGTTGTTCCCCACCATGTGTCCATGTGTTCTCATGACTCAGCTCCCAGTTATAAGTGAGAACATGCAGTATTTGGTCTTCTCTTTCTGTGTTAGTTTGCTGAAGATAATGGTTTCCAGCTCCATCCATGTCCCTGCAAAGGACATGATCTCATTCCTTTTTGTGGCTGTGTAGATTCCATTGTGTATATGTACCACATTTTCTTTATTCAGTCTATCATTGATGGGCATTTAGGTTGATTCCATGTCCTTTCTATTGTGAATAGTGTTGCAATGAACATACACATGCATGTATCTTTATAATAGAATGATTTCTATTCCTTTGGGTGTATACTCAGTAATGGGATTCTCTTGTTATTTAATTGTAATAGTTCTTCTGGATAAAAACAAGTCATTTGTCAAATATGCATAGTGTGAATACTTTCTCTCCATCTGTAGCTTATAGGCAAACCACTGTTTATTCATTTCTCCCTAAGAAAATACCTAAAATTATACATGAATAGAGAGGTAGGTAGAATTTAGACAAATGGAAAAAGGTGAGAATAAACATAAATATAAGCAAAAAACAAACACTTTAAGTACAAGGAACATTCAAAGTCAGAGTTGTATAGAGAATAATGTGGAGAGGCAAGTTGGAGTCAGGTCAGGGAGGGTGACATACTCAGAAATCTGGAATTTATTTTATATTCAGTGGGAAGCCATAAAGATTTTCCAATAGCAAGTGATACAATCAAAGCTCTTCTTTAAAGTACTCTCAAAGCAATACATAAATAGTTGTGAAGGCCAGATAATAAAGGTAAGGAGATCAGTTTGAAAACAATTTCAACAGTCCAAGTGAGAGAAAATGAGGTCCTGAACTAGGATCATAAAAAGAAGTCAGAATTTGTAGAACTCGATCAACAGATCTTAAGAACCACTGTAGGCTAGGCATGAAAAGACAGGATTAGATGCTGAAGACCCTGAGGTTCCATATAGGATGCTTGGCAGACAGATAGCACCACACCACAGCTAAGGAAGGCAGGAGTAGGAGTTGCTTTTTAGAGACATAGGAGCCAAGATTTGGACTTGTGTTGTTGTGCCCCCTGGGACCTTGTGGTAGCCATGCCTACCGCATAAGAAGCTAAAATGTTTTATTCCCCATGGAAAAAAAAATGGGTTTTGATATATGAAATCAGGAGTCATCTTCCATCTGCAAGAAGAAGATTGCTGACTCTACATAGAGAATGAAGACAACAAAAGAAGAATTTCAGTGACATTTAAGGGGTAGGAAGAGAAACAGGAGTTGGTTAAGGAAACTGAGAAGAAAGTAGTCCCAAAAGTATAAAAAAAAATAATTCAGTGTTGTGAACGCCTAGGAAAATTTCAAAGAGCAGGATGTCAGTGTTGTCAAACGCTTTGGAGAGGTTGAGAATTTGGAAGCATCCAGAAAAGTGTGCATTCTGTTCAACAGACTCTGTGCTTAACATACTCTATTTAAGAAAGAGAAGTGTGCCATATTTTTAAAATTTCCTTTTTATATGCTATATATTTTTATAACATTGTCAAATTAAAGTAGTAAGCTTGAGTTAACTTGTAAAATCATTTACATGAGGAAAAATATGGAATTCCCTGATGGCAGATGTACCAATGGAGTAGTTTACAAATTCTTTTTTTTCCAACTAGATAACCCTTTCTTCAAATCAATCCTTACTCGGAAGCCCATTATCTAAAACACATAGAAGAAACACTGTTCTGATTACAGGTAACTGGATGGGAGCAGAGCCTCACTACCTTGTAAGTACCCCACAATTGATAAATAGATGATAGATTGGTAGAGATAGATGGATAGATAGAGATAGGAGAGGTAGATGATTAGATAGATAGATAGATAGATAGATAGATAGATAGATAGATAGATAGATAGATGATAGATAAATAGATAGTTTCTAACCCCTTAATATCCCCAGTAGAATGTCATCTCCATGAGAGCAGGGACATTATCTATCTGGCTCACCCACTGTCTTATTAGAGCCTGAAATAGTGCCTGGCACTTGTTAGCACTAATCAAACATTAGCAAATAACTGAATCGTAGCCTCCCGATACTGTTAGGCAACTGACATTTATAGACTGCCTAGTATGTTCAGAATGCTGGGCTATTTGCCATTATGTGAACTTGACACATGGAACACCAATTCTGGAAGAACATGTTGCTATCCACATCATTGTATACATAAGAAACATCACCTTGAAGAGCTTCCCCCAAGACATATAAGTTGGCAGACCTAGAAATTCAACCTAGAAGCATTTAGTACCAATATGTGTGGCCTTTCTTCCCTGCACCACCATGTTGGGCTGCTCTTCCTATGGTCCTCACGGATGATAACCCGGCCTCTGATGGTTGCCCTGGCACTAACTGAAATAAGTTGTCTGACTCCTAGTTGGGGAGTTTGTTATACCAGTTGAGAGTGGGCACAATTTAGAAAGCATAGAGAACAAGTAGAGCAGCATCAGTAACAGTTCTTCTTGCTGATGGTGTTAGAGTTGGGAATGGAAGACTGGTGGGTCTCATCAATACAGAATAAACTCTGTTCTATACCCTCCCACCCCCACAAGGACCAGTGGGGAATGCTATGAATTCTGCATGCAAAATCAACATTCATGCATTTGCAGTAGGATGTCTGATGAGTCTTTAACCACTGTATCAGTTATCTATTGCCATGTAAAAAATGATTCCAAAACTTAAAAGACTTAAAAGAGCAATGGTTTATTTATATCACAATCAATGGGTTGGTAATTTGGGCTGGGATCAGTTGAGTCGTTCTGCTAATCTGAGCCAGGCTCAGCTGATCTTGGCAAAACTTGCATGTGCATCTATAGTTATTTGCTAGGTGGTATATTCACTTGCTCGGGCTGTCATAACAAAGTACCTCAGACTGGGTGCTTAAAAAAAACTGAAATTTATTTCCTGGAGACTGGAAGGAAGTCCAAAATCAAGGTATCAGCAGGGTTGATTTCTTCTAAGACCTCTCTTCTGGGCTTGTAGATTGTCATTTTCCCCTCTGTCTTCATGATGTTCTTTTTTTCTCTGTGACTGCATATGTTTGTGTCCAAATTTCCTCTTCTTACAAGGAAACTATTCATATTGAATTGGAGTCCAATTTACACACCCTATTTTAACTTAATTACCTCTTTAAAGGCCTCATCTCCAAATATAATTACATCCTAAAGTTCTAGAGATTAGGATTTCAATGTATGAACTAGAGGTTGAGGGTGCCACAATTCAGCCTATAACAGGTGACAAGTGAGTGGGTGGTCTAAGAAGTTTCCACTAGCATGGCTCATCTCTGCTCCACATGGTCTTTCATCCTCCAGCTGGCGAGCCTGGGCTTATTCACAGGGCAGTGGTGATAGGCATCCCAAGAGAAAGAGGAAGAATGTAGAGCCTCTCCAGGCTTGAACTCAAAATCAGCATGACAGCACTCCTGCCACATTCAATTATCTAAAGCAAGTCACAAAAACAGCCCAAATTCACAGGTGGAGAACTGTGTCTATTTTTGAAATTGACTACAGCCACTCTCCTTTCTTCCTATTCTTGCACCTTAGGGAAATCTATATAACACATTATGGATTTTCTACTATTTTCACCATCAGGCTGACCCTGAAAAGACTATGATTCATTGAAATTTGTTTTTCAGCCCCATCCTCACGCTAGCCTTCTTCTAAGGGCCTTTCTTCTCACTCTAGCTCTCTTAGGCCTTTCTCTTCTTCCTCATCAGGAGGGGCTATGGTGAAATTATTCATCCTGAGAGTCCATGGGTAGATGGAAGGGGATGCCTCTTTTGAAGATAATTGCATCTTAATAGATACATAAGTCTTAAGCTAAAGAATGGAGCACTTGGGCCGGGCGCGGTGGCTCACGCCTGTAATCCCAGCACTTTGGGAGGCCAAGGCAGGTGGATCACGAGGTCAGGAGATCAAGACCATCCTGGCCAACACGGTGAAACCCCATCTCTACCAAAAATACAAAAAATTAGTCAGGCATGTTGGCGGGCACCTGTAGTCGCAGCTACTCGGGAGTTTGAGGCAGGAGAATGGCGTAAACCCGGGAGGCGGAGCTTGCAGTGAGCTGAGATCGCGCCACTGCACTCCAGCCTGGGCAACAGAGCGAGACTCCATCTCAAAAAAAAAAAAAAAACAAGAAGAATGGAGCACTTATGGCAGAGTTTCTGGTAACACCAAGGAGTAGGAGAAACTTCCTTAAAAATCTGTGAAAATTGCCTCTTCATGTGGAGGAAAAGTCTTTTGTTTTTAGTTACTTTCTACATGCCAAGTACATAGCCCCACAACCAGTGGCCACTCAATAAACAGTGAGTATTCTGAAGTCTGAGAGTGAAGGTTCTAAAATCTTTTCTGTGTCCGTGATTACAGAAGAACATTTAATATGAACAAGGAATCAGAGGAGCTGAGCAAGCCCCAGGCCATTCTTAGCTACCACCTGATGGTTTGACCTTACACAAGCTATTTTTACCTTATCCAAATCTCAGTTGTTCTCTCATTTGCAAATGAGAGATTTGGTAAGACAATCTCTAGGATTGCTTTCAGTTCTGATTTCCTATGAATTCTAATAAAATCTTCATGAGAAGGGAGCAATGGTACATCCTCCCTAGACAATCAGGCTTCATCACATTTGCTCTGCATGCACAATCCCATGCCTTTGTCTGGGGCTCTGAACTAAGTAAGCATTACAACTATGACCAGCCGGAATGGGTCACATGCTGTCCTAGATTTTCTGGATTGTTGTAAGCGACTATGGGGAGATAATAAAACCATTAAGTTTAGGAGGAATTGTTGATGGATTTCTAGTCACCAGATATTTTCTGCCTCTCAGAATAGCTCAGTAATGAGGCTTTAGAAGGTTGGAGTCCTTCGTCCTCTGACTCTCAGCCCTGCTCCTCCAAGCAATAACCATGTCTAGCGTGTATTTCCCTTGTATACATTGAAATTCAGTCTATTGTATACATTTTCTTTATATCCACAATACATCTGTCTGTTCTGGATATACACAGCCATCTCCCAACTTTAAACATCAGTCTGTATATACAACGTGGGTGGGTTGGGTTCGGACCTGACCAGGACAAGGCCATGCACTTATATATTTAATGGCCCTGTCTTAACAATCTGCCATTACAGCAAGCATGAAAAAAACAAATGGGGACAGAACTCTTTTCCGTTGTTGTTGTTGTTCAAACTCAACATCAAAAGTTATTGAGTGATTTTGCTATGCCATAGCCAGAGGTGGTGCTAATAGAGAGAAGCTCTAAGCTCTGCTCTCTGTGTGGAAAGTAGTTCATATGCTTTATCATCTCTTAGAACCTGTCAAGCTCGGTTAGTTGAGTGGACATGGATTGCCTCAAACAGCATTTGCTATGCATTTGTTTTCCAAACACACTACACCTTCCTTGGAAGGTTTATCCTAACAGATAAAACGTTTGGGGGTAGATTTGGAGCTTACCAAGTCACTCCCCTTTTAAAACCAGGTCTCCAAAGGAGAAACAGAAACTGAGTTCAAAGGTAGATCACCTATCAGAGAAAGCTTATAAGCTTCTGTTAGACATTAACTGAAAGTTAAGATTTCATTTTTAAGCAGAGAATTTATTCCTGTTCACAAACAAAGCTGTTTCTCTAGTTACCTTGAGGCTCCAAAATTTAGTATCTCCAATCTGCAGGACTGCACTCACTGCCTCCACAGAGATATCGTGTGGCATGGAATTTCAGCGAGTTCTCCCGGGGCCCCGAGCATTCTTTCACTGCAAGGCCACTGCTCTGCGTGTTATTAGCATGGCAATAAAAAACATATGCACAAAAAAGTTCAGGACAAGATCAAAAAGTGAAGAAAAAACAGCAGTACCTTTTAAGTTTCCAGTCTCCCAGCACTGAGTGGGGGCACAAATAGATACAAAAAAAAAAAAAAAAAAAAAGGAGGCATCTTCTTGGTTCTGAAAGTTGAAGAGACTAGTCCTGCAACAGCTCAAATGTAATAGGAAGCAGTATATAACTGAGTGTTTACACAGAGTGGATGGGAACAGACCACACAGGAACTTTAAGAATTTCAAGAAGGTGAAGAACAACTGTTTTATAAGGTAGTAAGGAAAGGTGTGTAGGCAGAATTCTGAGGTGACTCCCAAAATTTCCACCCCGTGACACGCATGTCCTGTATCAGCCCCTTCCTCTGAGTGTGGGTGGACCCAACCTAATCAGGCGGGTCTTTTGCAAAGAGAGTCTAGAGCAGGTGTGTCCAATCTTTTGGCTTCCCTGGGCCACATTGGAAGAATAAGAATTGTCTTGCGCCACACATAAAATACACTAACATTAAACATAGCTGATGAGCTTTAAAAAAATCACATAATGTTTTAAGAAAGTTTAAGAATTTGTGTTGGGCCACATTGGAAGAATATGAATTGTCTTGCGCCACACGTAAAATACACTAACATTAAACATAGCTGATGAGCTTTAAAAAAATCACATAATGTTTTAAGAAAGTTTAAGAATTTGTGTTGGGCCACATTCAAAGCTGTCCTGGGCTGCTTGGGACCCACAGACCACGGGTTGGACAAGTTTGGTCTAGAAGAAGCAAAAGAGATTCCAAGCTGCAGCCTATGCTCTCCTGTTGGCCTTGAAGACACAAACTGCTGTGTTGTGGAAAGGGCTATGAGGCAGAAAATGGTGTGCAGCCTCTAGAAGCAGAGAGAGAGCCTCCTGGCCAATGGCCACTGCAAAAGGAAGGACCTCCATTCTACAACTGCAAAGAATTGAATAATGCCAACGAATCCACAAGCTTAAGGACGCTGACCTCTAGAAAGGAATGCAGACTAGATTTCACCTTGATTTCAGACTTGTGAGATCCTGAACAAAGAGCCCACCTAACCTGTTCACAGACTCCTGACCTTCAGACATTGTGAGAAAATGAATGGGTGTTGTTTTAAGCCATGAAGTTTGTGTTCATTTGTTACAAAGCAGTAGAGAATGAATGCAGAAGGCTTCTTAGAGCAGAAATAACTTGAGTGGGGCCCAGAAGAAGATGCTGACAACTTGAAAAAATTCAAAGAAGGTAGGAAGCAGTGATACTAGGGGAATAAGGAGAAGGTAGGTGGTTAAGCAAAGGCCCTGAAGTAATTAAGTGCATGATAGGATATGTTTAAGATAATATCATGACAAAGAAGACCTTCACCTTCCTATTTCTTACTTTGATGAATGTAGAATGTTTACTTGGTAAGCAGATCATGGCTTATCATGAAAAAACTGAGGTCAATGGATGTGCGTCAGTTGTGCATTGACATGTGATTATCCAGGGGGCATGGTTAGCTTCCTGAAACAAAAATCTCATTGAAATATATGAAGTGTTTTCTCTTTGGTCTTACATTTTAGAGGATAAAATCTAAATTTCCCAAGCAGGATCTGAGGCCCTTCACGTACTTCTCATCACTCAACCTCACTGTTGCACCCTACCCAAGCCAAAACTGAACACACACACACACACACACACACACACACACTCCCATACATTCCTGCATTGACCAGATAGTCCTCTACGTAAGGATATTCTTTCCCTAACTTCTCCCTCCCCCATCCAGCCTCCCACCCCAAGCTGCTCCCTTATGGCTCTTTTGTTCTTCCTCTAAGACTCTGGTCAAAAGCAGTTTCTCTTGGGAAGCCTTCCTCTTGTTCCCCACCTAACACCCCAGGCACAAACTTTCATTAGTGATCTTGCAGCATATTGAACATGCCTCTGTTGGCACACTAATAATAGAAGGAATATTAACAGTAGCTCACGTTTATTGGATGAATATCTAAAACCATACACTATACCTTTTTACACACATTATCTTGTTGTATTTTTACCACATTTTTTGTGTTTACATGCTTCTCCACTAAATGTTGAATCTCTCAAAGGCAAGGATGACGACTTTTTCATCTTTGTACCCCCTAGGGCTTTGCACAGGGTAGAAAGCACTCAAAATATATTTAATAAATGAGTTAAAAGAGTCAAAAGTAAGGCTAGAATTCAGGTCTACAGATCACAAGGCAAGGTTATTTCCTGTCATACCATCACAATAAAATGAATGTAGAAGGGCTTTTGTCAAACTGAAAAATACCATGTGGGGAAAGGCAGAAGATGCCAGCCAAAATCTCCCCTTCTGTGCCCCTCTCTTATCTCCTTCCTGCCTCCTGCTGCCAAAACAATTTTAGATAATGGGAAAGCTCATCAGCAGTGCTGGTCTACTTTATGTAACTCAGGAACCCAAAAATACAAAGTGGAATGTACATGTGTTCATGATCAGCGGGAAGCAAAATGAAGGCTTGCGCAAAGAGAACCAGGCTACACAGTGAATAGGGTATACAATCTGGACACCTGTAGAGAATCTGGTATCCTGTGGACATCCAGGCATCCCAAGGAGCAAAGGTAAGCGAGCTCCCTAGTTAGGCACCCAAAAGACCTGTGTGCACTCATTTAGTCCTTAGAATTCTGTGCTGTATTTCAACCATTGCTTTGGTAAACAAGGCAGTCAATGTGACTCTTAAGCAAGCTGTAAAAAACTCATTATCATTTAAGTAAGTAGACTTCTCCTTATTCAAGTCTTGCCATTTAGAGGTGGGTAATAGAATCATTTTGTATGGAACTATCCCAGCCTTTGTCTTTTTCCCTTGTCTTTAGGAAAAAGCTGAATATTGAATCGGCTACCAGGTAACATCATGCTTTGTTGTGCTGACCCTAGGTCTCAGCCAGAAAAATCAGAGAAGGAATTTTTTCCCCTCAATTTAATATAAAAGACTCTATCAGGACTGCATATAGCCCCTCTTTTTTCAAATAGAAAGGTATACAAGCCTCTCCCTGTTTTTCAATTGCCTGTCATTTCTCCCCAAACCTCCCTCCTTCTCACTCTCCTCCCCGCCAGCTCCCACCCATCTTACAAAACCCAATAGGTAGAACATCTCTAAATGTGATCTGCACAAGCAAATGTTTAGTGGGGTGAGAACAGAAGAAAAAAAAAATTAGCTTCCAACTGGCATAGTCGGCCTTGTACTTAGAAGGAACAAATTAAACCCTTGATCTTTAGGAATAGTTAGCAAGATTCTACTTTATGATCCCTAGAAATGGTTTAGCAAGAGCTCTACTTTATTTTCTATAGAAGGAAAAACATTCTTACGGCTTTTAAACCCAAGAAGCAGAAGGAGATAGCCTATTTGTTTATATTATATTTAAGGGTAATTCTTTTTTTTTGTTTGTTTTGTTTTGTTTTGTGTTTTTTTGTATTTTTTTTTAATTATACTTTAAGTTCTAGGGTACATGTGCACAACGTGCAGGTTCGTTACATAGGTATACATGTGCCATGCTGGTGTGCTGCACCGATTAACTCGTCATTTACATTAGGTATATCTCCTAATGCTATCCCTCCCCACCCCGCTAACCCTATGACAGGCCCCAGTGTGTGATGTTCCTCTTGCTGTGTCCAAGTGTTCGCATTGTTCAGTTCCCACCTATGAGTGAGAACATGCGGTGTTTGGTTTTTTGTCCTTGTGATAGTTTGCTGAGAATGATGGTTTCCAGCTTCATCCATGTCCCTATAAAGGACGTGAACTCATCCTTTTTTATGGCTGCATAGTATTCCACGGTGTATCACCCAGTTCAATTCAAGAAACCTTATTCAAAGCAAGACTGGGTAGCAGAAGGGACACAGAGACCAGAAAGAAATAGTTGGTGCCTTCTAGAAACTGATATTCTAGTAGCAGACTGTGATCAGCAAGTAAATAAATAACTCAAATATAAAGCAGAAACAGGATAAATGCTACAGTAGAGATGGGAGCAAGGAAATGTTCAAATAGAGAAAATTAAGTTTATGGGAGCAGTCTTCTGATGCTTCCTTTCTCTGGAACATGGGGCAATCAAAAGCTATTACAGCTCAGATTTCTGAAAAATACAGAAATGCATTCTTTTGTACTATAAAATAATGATTGTATTTCTAAGAAATATCACATTATCAAAAATAACATTACAGAAACAATTATTCTAATAGGGAAAAAAAGTCTTGGTGCTAGAGATCTCTAAACATGCCATAACAAAGTCATTTTTCCTACAAGAGTTCCAGTAATAAAAAATGTTTTTACTAGGCCTAAGTGTATTTTGCTATTTTAGGCAATACATCAGTTCATTATAACTGACAAAAACAAACCTAAACATCCCTAGGCAAATCTAAGCAGTACATAAGACCAAACTCGGTAAATTTCAAGATTATCAAAATCATTTGCAGCCCCATTTACAATTTGGGGCAGATTGTCTTAGCATGTGCTAAATACTCTGGTTTCCAACTCCCTGCAGTGTGTCTCCACGTGAAATGGTTATTTATACTGAGCTGCAAGTGTTGAACTCAGGAGTGACCATGGGATTGCGTGACCAGTGCAGCGTGGGCAGAAGTGATAGGTGTCACTTCCAAGCAGAGGCTTCAGAGCTAGTTTCTGGTCCACCATGTCTTTTTCCCTCTGTCATCACTAGAGTAGCCCAGCCAGGAAGTGCTCTTTCAGCCTGAGTCCTAAAGTAGAGATGACCATGGGACGCAGCCCAACCCACTCGACATTTGGACACAGAGTGCTCTGGGCAGAATGTGTCCCCCCAAAATTAATATGTTGAAATTCTAATCCCCAAGGTAATAGTATTAAGAGGTGGGGCCTTTGGGAGATGATTATGTCATGAGAGTAGAACCCCCACAGATGGGATGAGTGCCCTTATGAAAGAGGCCAGAGAGAGCTAGCTTTCCTCTTCCTCCATGTGAGAACACAGAGAGAGGCTTCCTTATGAACAGGGAAGCAGGCCCTCATCTGACACCTATATCGCTGGTGCTTTGATCATAAACTTCCCAGCCTTCAAAACCAGAAGGAATATATTTCTGTTGGGTATAAGCTACACAGTTTACATATTTTGTTATAGCAGCTGGAACAGACTAAGACACGTAGCGTAGGGGGAGAAATAAACCTGTGTTGCAGCAAGCCAGTAAGATTTGGAGGCCATTTGTTACTGTAATATACACATTTTTTTTCTCACTGGTTGCAAGTACAAGAAGTAAAGAAACATGAATTGATCGGTCTGATATTCAAATAACACAACTTGCTATAAGCCTAGTGATATTTCCCAATTGTGATTCTTATTAGCAATTGTGGCCTAAATAATGTTACCATTCTTTGAGGATTCTGTACTAGGCATTTTTCATATATTATCTTATTCAGTCCTTTCAACAAGCGTAATAAGCTAGATATAAATCTCCATTTTACAGATAAGAAAACTGAGAGCCAAAGAAGTTAAGTAATTTGCTAAATGGCCATTACTTATTAAGTTCCAAGAGCAGAATTTAACTTACTCTGTTTGATTCCAAGTCCTGCCTTCCCAACACTCTTCCACAGGGTTAATTAAGGAATAAACTAATTGGCCACACAAGGCGACGGCTGATTACAACTCTGAATTCATAAAAACCCAGGGCATGTTAATGTGGTCTGAATTAAGTTACTTAGCCTCCCTGAGGCTTAGTTTTTTCATCTGTAAAATGGAGATAACGTTATCTCCAGCATTGTTAGAGGATTAAATATACATATACAGTCACGCCTGGCTTAACTATGGGGAGATCCTCTGAGAAATGCGTCGTTAGGTGATTACGTCATTGTAAAAACATAGAGTTTACTTTCACAAACCTAGATGGTATAGCCTACCACACATCTAGGCTATATGGTATAGCTGATTGCTCCTAGGCTACGAACCTATACAGCCAGCAAATTATTGTACTGCATACTGTAGGCAACTGTAGGCAAGGGTATTTGTGTATCTACACATAGAAAAGCTACAGTAAAAATACTGTATAAAAGATAAACAGGGCTGGGCATGGTGGCTCACGCCTGTAATCCCAGCACTTTGGGAGGCCAAGGCGGGCGGATCACAAGGTCAGGAGATAGAGACCATCCTGGCTAACACGGTGAAATGCCGTCTCTACTAAAAATACAAAAAATTAGCTGGGCGTAGTGGTGGGTGCCTGTAGTCCCAGCTACTTGGGAGGCTGAGGCAGGAGAATGGCATAAACCTGGGAGGCAGAGCTTGCAGTGAACCGAGATCGTGCCACTGCACTCCAGCCTGGGCAACAGAGCCAGACTCCATCTCAAAAAAAAAAAGAAAAGAAAAGATAAACAGTGGTCCATCTGTATAGGGCACTTACCATGAATGGAGCTTGCAGGATTGGATGTTGCTCCAGGTGAGTCAGTGAGTGAGTGGTGAGTGAATGTGAAGGCCTAAGACACTATTGTACACAACTGTGGGCTTTATAAAGACTGTACACTTAGGCCATACCAAATTGATTTTTTAAACTCCTGCTTTTAATAATAAATTAACCTTAGCTTATTGTAACTTTTTTACTTTATAAATTTATTTTTTAATTTTTGACTCTTTTGTAATAACACTTAGCTTAAAACACACATATTGTACAGCTGTATAAAAATGTTTTTTTCTCTATATTCTTATTCTATATGCCTTTTACGATTCTTTTTTTTTTTTTTTTTTTTTACTTTTAAAACTTTATTGTTCAAAACTAAGACACAAGCAATTTAGCCTAGGCCTACCCAGGGTCAGGATCATCTAGATCACTGTCTTTCACCTCCATTTCTTGTCCCACTGGAAGGTCTTCAGGGGCAAAAACAGGCATGGAGCTGTCATCTCCTATGATGACAATGCCTTCTTCCAGAATACCTTCTGAAGGTTTTGCCTGAAACTGTTTTACAGTTAGCTTTTTTTTTAACAAGTAGAAAGAGTACATTCTAAAATAATGATAAAAAGTATAGCATAGCAAATACATAAACCAGCAACATAGTCATCTATTATCATTATCAGGTAGTATGTACTGCACATAATTGTATGTGCTAGACTTTTATTGGACTGGTAGCTCAGAAGGTTGGTTTACACCAGCATCAACACATGCACATGAGTAATGCGGTGCTCTATGACCTTACAACACCTATGGTGTCGCCAGGCCAAAGAAATTTTCCAGATTATAATCTTACAGGACCACTGTTGGATACATGGCCCATCGTTGACCAAAAAGCCTGTGATGCGACAAATGATTGCAGTTCCTAGCACAATGCATGGCACATATCAGCACTTAATGGTAACTCTCAGTATCATCCATGTCAGTTCCGTTACAGCCTAGGCACACTAGGACTGAAGAGAGAAAGAGCCATTCTTGCTGGGATCCTAGAGAAAGCAACCCCCTCCTGGGTCCTCATGACACTAAGGCCTAGGAGGAACCTATGTAGGGAGAGATGCAGGGCCAAGCCACAGGGCAGGGTGCAAGTCAAAACTCTGACTTGGAGGGCTACTCATCCCTGCAGGGCAGCGACAGACATGCCTCCTCTCTCAATCTAAAAGGCGCAGCGCAAATGGCAAGGACCGCCGTCAACAGGCCCCTAACAGATGGACCCATCAAACATAGGAACAGGTTGGGCACCAACGGCCAGAAAAAAAGACAGTTTGGAGGAACAGGACCTGGCTCCGGATGAAGGCAGAGAGAGAGAGCTGCGGACCGGAGCGAGTTTGTGACAGGCCATGGCCCCCGACTAGCAATGAGCTGATGGAAGCAGCTGATGGGACTAATGACAGGAGGTAATGATGATGAAAAGCACTTAAGCAATGGGCCTTCAAGTAGCTGTTGTTGTTGCTGAAAGGCCTCCTGCCACAGAACAAAGCAATTAGTCAGTCACCCCACCACCCAGCCCCTCCTCTGCCTGCCTCCCTTTTCCCACCTTTCCAGACCTCAGACCATTCATCCCTTTGTCTCATTAGCCCAGACTGCAGCAACCCAGACCCAGCAAACAGAAATGCACCAGCTGGAGACCAACCTTTAACAGCTGTCGCCCACATCGGGGGCTCCAAAGGCAGGCTGTGGCTACAAAGGGGGCCCAGCCTTGGAGGGCCCTTTCTGTCCCAAGTTTTGGCATGAATTTTCCATGAAAATGCTACCTGCACACATATGTATTTCAGTATGTGGCACTGGCCTTTGCCCATAACACCAAAAGTAGACCTACTCGTTTTTGCAGCTGGGAGAATAACTTCTTTGAGCAACAAATTAGAAAAGTATTTTGAGTTTGGGCATTTATCTGCCCAAAAAGAAACAGTATATGCTTGGAGTTGAGGATTCCTGAGTTCTTACTCTTGCTTCTACTCATCCTTTAATATTCACCTAAAGCATTCTCATGCTTGGACTCCTTCCCTCATCCACACAGGCCGTCTTCTCCTGGTACACTCCCATTACAGCAGCCTTTGCAATACAGGATAATACTACCTGGTCATGGTTGCTTTTTCTTGTGTGCCTTTCTGTCTGCCTCCCTTTCAAGACTATGATCTCATAGACAGTGAGGACCATCTCCATTCCTTTTTTTCTCCTCGGTATCCAGCACATGGTTACTACACAGTACCGTCAAGTTTTTGAGCTATGCAACTTCCAAGTCTATATAGTGGAGGTAGTCATATATGCCCTATTACATGTTCCAGTTTTAAGGTTTGGGATCAAATATGACAGCATAACTGGAAAGTGTTGGAAATGCACAATGATAAATGAATTATTAATATCAGGTATTGTGTATCTCTGGCTTCCTCTTGCATTCATCTAGCATTTTTGAGCACATTTTGTGTGCTTGGCTCTATGTGGTGCAGATGAAGCCCCTCTTTGAAGCTTCCCTGGCTGAACTCACTGTCTCAGCCTTCTTCAGCCCTGTACTTAACCTCCCGCCATGGACTAAGCCAGTGAATCCATGCTTGATGAACTCTGTCTCACCTTGCTGATGTTTACACCAAAGCCCCAAGCTTACTATCTGCTATCCAGGAAAATCATATTTTGAGTGCCAGCTACAAGTCAGGCATAGGACCAGACATTACAGAGAAGGGGAATGAATTGTATAATGGGCAAGGTATAGAGTCTCTCCCCTAAGAAAATATAATACAATATGAGCAGAAAATGAAAAGATTCGAGAGATACACACTAAAAAGTGATACAGCAATTCAGACAAGGGAGCGGTTTCGTTAATAGGTGCCTCAGCAAAGTCTCCAGGAAAGAGTGACATTTGAGTTTGGGCATGAAGAATTGAAAGGCTTCAGGAGGCAGACATTATGCAAGAAAAGCTATTTTCAGAAAACTAGAGCTTTGAGGGACCTTAGAGGGTCGACCCTCAACCTCTTCATTGTGTAGATGAGGAAGTCAAGGCCAAGAGTCAGTAGCTTGCTCAAGATCACTTAGCTAGTAACTGGCACAGCTGGGATACAAACTCCACAGCCCACACTTTGACCAGAAAGTGACATGACAAGAATCTACTTTAGGCAAAAGACTAAGGAGCAATAGAAACAGAGGGAGGGAAAGAAAGATGAGAGAAGGGGAGAGAGGGACGGAAACAGACAGAGAGAGAGAAAGAGGAAATAAAGTAAAAGAAAACCTTTAGAAAATCTCAGAGGAGGGTAGACCATTTAGGAAGCTACTACAAAGGCCTATAAGTAACATAATGAAAACCTGGTCTAGGGTGATAGCTACAGGAATGGGAAGGGATGGATAATTCTGGAAGGATGGGTTAAAAGACTTTGAAAACAGAATGTGGTAAGATGGAGGGTGAGTAGAATTCCAGAATTTCAACCTTAGGAAACAACTCTGAGAATAGTTCAGAAATCTGTAATTTCCTAAGCATGCTATTTCTTTCCCCAGTACCATCACAGATTACAAGCAGTCTTCATGAGTAACCAGAACCCTTCTGATGCAGTTTTCTTCCTGCCTCATGAGCAAAGAATTCTGGCAAGTGAAAACTGAGAAATGATTTTTTCTCAGTGTAGGGCTCGTGTATCATGACAGCAATGTTATTAAGTTAGTAAATAATTGATCCCAGACAAATAAGCAGAGTTTGATGTTGTACAACCCATCACACCTCACCCAAAGTCACATTGCACTGGGCCACGCCATCCTAACTGCTCAAAGGGGCTCTGAGATGTGTAAATTCCTCTAAATTCTGCTTCCAATCAGAAGACGCCAGCTTTGTTGGGGTTTAACCACGTTCAAATCTAGGATGTGCCCAAACATGACAGAGGCATTGTTTTCTCTCCCTCAGCTATCCGTATGTTAAAAGCATCTATTAAAATGTGTCTGAGATGGAAGGCACCCAACACACTGTCATTAATTTAAGGAAATAAAATTACACCATATGAAGGGTTATCATAAGGAAGATGGTGACCAGCTGTTCTCCATCTCCTCTGGGTTAGAATAAGAGAAAGTGGGAGGGAGTTCAATTTGAAATTGAATCCGGAGTGGGAACTTGACAGAAGGATGGAAGCATAGCCAATGAGGGATACAAGACAGACAAACGGTAGAGCTGTCATAAATGGGCATATGAGATTTCCATGGGGGTGGAGAGGGAAGGGATTCAGTCAGCCAGAGGTAAAATGAGGTTTCATTTCCTTTCTCCTCTTGGGTACCTGATGGCCTTGGAGTTTCTCTCTTCTTTCACCTCTTTCCAGGCAAACTCTCCGTTTTAATTTTCATTAAAAATAGAAACAATGGAGGTGTTTTCATTATGATATAGACCAAAGCCTTCCAGTAAGTGAATAAAGCAGGAGGTAGATTATCAAGGGTCTCTTCCACAAAGTAGCTCATAGTTTTGTTTTGTGTTGCATTCAGTCCATCTCTGCCTAGAGAAGTAAGGACATGCCTGGATTTGGGAAATGGACAGATTAGATTTGAAATCCTACTGATTTAAGGAATTTCTCATTGCAACCTCGTTCAAGGCTAAATTTTGAGAAATCTAGCTTATTCATCAGTGACTCCCAGATCCTGCACCCTCTCTGATACTCCTGTTTTCCTTTCATTTTTAGATATCCAGAGCCACAGTCTCCATCACAATGCATTCCTAACAAATAATTTATAGGAGTCATTTACTGCCTAGTATGAATTTAAATCACTTCTTCTCTCCCTTCCAGTTGAATTTGCATATAAGCTGTGACTCTCACTGGGAAACCAGAGGCCTGGTTCTCTGGTCAAAAAAATTTCAAAATGCCAGCAAAAAAAATAAGGAGTTTTTCTCTGGAAAAGACTCATCCAAATCCTGTAACTGCACGAAGGAGGAGGCAGTCTCCTACCTCTCTGGGATGTTTGAATATAATTGATCTTCCATTGCAACTGAAACCCCAGTAAAAGTGAAAAGAAATCAGAGCACTCACAAATGGGCAAGAAACAGAATTAGCTTTCCATAGTAGGGTATCAGACAAAATCTGGGGAATTGGTCCCTGTTGATTATACAAATGTTATTCATAACCTAGAAAGAAAGGAAATATAAAAAATACCCAAATATACACACTGTCAATGGAAGAGGAACAAAGTACCGGGGGCTTTCAGAGGAGGGAGGGGAGCTTAGAGTTGGTTGAATTAAGAAAGGATATGTGAGAGAGATGATATTTGGTAAATACTCGGATGATATTTGGTAACAACTAAAAGTTGAGAAAAAAGCATTTTAGGCAGGCAGAGCAACATGAACAAAGTCATGGAGTGAGGAGGGAAGATTGGCCCAGGACGCAGAGAAAATGAGTTTAGCAGGTGCGCAGGGTATACCTAGGGGAGCACAGAGAGCTTAGGCTGCAAAGGCAAGTCAGTCCCATGCCTTGGATTGTCCTAAACACCCACTAGGATGAATTTATATGTCACTCAGCAAACAGGGAGTGACTTGAAGTTTTTAAGAAGGAAAAAAGTCAGGCATCACATAATCCAAAAGATCTGCACTGGCTCTTTGTACCTTCCATAAGGAGTTATCTAATTCTTTACTTGTTACAAACATTTTACAGTTTTCCCTCATGCTTGGGTTTTGCCTTCCTGACTGGGTGCCATGTAAGCCCAGAGTGGAGTGTACAGAGATTAGTCTTTTTGTGAAGCCCATTCCGGCCCTGCTCCTGTGCCATTTTCTTCTTAAAATACGTAAGTTCCCCATTTGGGTCTAGAACAGAAGCCATAATTGAAAAGAACTGAAAGAAAAAATACTTTTGAATAATAATTCTTAGCATTCTTGTTGCCTTTTTTCTTTAATTGGGGAACATTTCAATGGAAAGCCCAGCATTACCCCCACTTCTCTTGGCAACCAACAAGAGAAGGAGCAAGAGAAGCGGGTAAGTAACTCCATGGATAGGCATGAACCATTGGCGTCTGCCTCCCTGTCCCCTCAAAGCAAGAGACCAAGCCCCTCTGTTTTTCCTGGCAATTCTAAAGCAAGCATAAACCCAGTCTCCAAATCAGCAGAAACCTTGAAAACAATAAGGGCCGGAAAGACAACTGGGTCCCCTCCAAATCAAAGCAGCTCTCATTTTGTTTCTATGTATTTTAAGGTTGGTTGAGGATAATCTGCTCCCCCATTGACAATCTGTGTCAAAGTTTCAGCCTCACTGGAAATGGTTGTGATCTGAACTCCTTCAGAAAAAAAGAAAAAAAAAATTAAAGGAAAAAGAAAGAAGGAAAACACACACAAACTCCCACCTAACTCCAGCTCTTTTAATGGATAAGTTGACAGAGTCCTTAACTAGCACCCTCTGGATCCCCATGATAATTACAGGCTGGAAAGGAGAGCTGTGTTTCATGTGATTAGAGACTGTTTGTGCCTCTGTCCATTAGGAAAAAAGAGGAGGAAGCATTTTTAAGAACTTGACGCCAAACATTTTCCACTAGGGAATTTTACTCAATTACTTGCAAAATAATCTCAAACATGGTCATTTCTTCATTAAAACGTTCTTTTAAAAATTTACCACAGACTTGTTTAGAGCTGATTTTGATGGGTGGCACTTTGGAAATTATGTGCTTGATTTAGCGCCGTCCTCTCCTAAAACTGTACCAACCACGCCCCCTTCCCCATCGGTGTTCCACTTAATTGACTCAGGCTCTCACTTTCGCCTGCCCAGACATTGATGAAGATATACAACACACAACTCTTTAGCGGCTCCCTTTCCCTCTTATATCAAGGGAATCTATCAACCTGGAGAGAGACAAAAAAATAAAAAGCCCTAGGGAGGGAAGAAGAGGGGAGGAGGGGGTGGTTGGCTGATCACCAGCAGCCTTTCCGAAAGGACTAGAATTAGTAAAGAGTTTTATTTGCTGAAAGAAATCTCTTTATAGCTTGATGTTTGTGATATGACTAGTCCAGGAAGGAATGGGAAATAGGAGAAAGAAAACTACTTAACACAGCCTTAAAATCAAGGTATCTGAGCCAAGAACTTTGCAGGGAAATTCATTCCTAACCTCTACTGACCTCATCCAATATTGTATCATCAATGCCCAAAGCACGATCAAAATTTCCATCAGGCACTCCTTCCTCTCCCTTTTAACAACTAACCAAAATTCTCCTCAACCTGAACAATGCGGTTCAGATCCCATTTCCCACCCGGTGTAGCTCACCTTAGCCACTTTATCCTACCCTCTTCTTTCTTTAAAATCTATCTTCACTTATGATCACCACCACAAAGCCTAGATTTTTATTAGTCAATGCCCCTCTCAAGAGCAGAGTCCAGAGTTGTGGGGACTATAAGACTGATATAGTTGCCTCCAGAAAACCAGTTATTAGGGTGTGTCTGGATGAGGTGGGGTGAAGGGGTGGGATGTATAACTTCCTTGAGTATCTGTTGCGTAGGCATGCCTTCTCCTGATAAAGGCAAAAAAAAGTTCTCTCCATGGGGAAGCAAGCTGAATTGCTACTTGGAGAAGGGAAGGAAGGTATTACATGCCTGGGAAGGAGGCACAGGATGGAGATGGGGTCCTTGAGGCTACAGAGGGGACTGTTTTCCCATAAGTCTCTGGAGGCTGATACTTCAAAAGGAGGAAGAGGAGACAAGGCCTGTGTTTGTGTGTATCTTTTGGAAAGATGCTATCATAAAAGGTGCTCCTGAATCAAGTTAATACAGTATTTTCTGTGGTTGGGAATGGGTGTGGATAGCCTATGTGTTTTTAAAAAAGGCACCTGTGGAATTTATGTTCTCCTTAAGTATGGAAATTACATTAGCAGCACCACAGATGCCCAGGACAGGTCAGGTAGGGAAGGCACAAAAAGGCTCTTATTCTACAGATAAGAAAAAATATATAGGTTTTTCTAGTCTGGTATCCTTACACACTTCCTCTTTTATGCCTCACTAAACACACACGCATGTGCGTGCGTGCACACACACACACACACATGCACACACACACATTTTGCTCATTCTCTTCCCAACAACTAAGGTTTTGCTCTCTTTCTCTAAATTGTCCCCACCTGAGCTTGTAATGCTCATTCTCTTCTTCCAAATTACGTAAAACCTGTCAGGCATTCAATGTTATGCTGAAATGTTGTCCTCTCCATTAAACGTTCCCGAAGGCTCTGGCAAAACAAAACCAGCATTGTCTCCTCTTTGAACTCCTACTGCATTACAATTCTGCTCTATGTTTGCTAGCACATGCATGTTGTGTAGGGGGGCGGTTGTGGATTGGGGCACACGTGTGTGCTTCCACTGGAACCAAAGTTTCTTGAGGTCTAGTTGGCAGGAGAATTTCTTTAAACATATAATAGATCTCAATAAAAGCTAGTTGATGAGGTGAATACTGGATCAAACTCAGGTGGCTTTAGTTAGTCCCCACAAACGTCTACTGTTGAATCCTAGGAAGCTTGGAGGAACTAAGAGATTTTATTCTCATTTTCCTTTGTCAATGACTCTGGGACTTAGGAAGTCCAAAAAGTGCTTCCAGAGTTCTCTTCCTTTATCCCAATATCCAGTGTTGACTCTGTCCCAGGTATTTACTCCTATCCCTTCCCTCAGGTAGAAGATAAATGCCATTCTGTAGGTACCAAATCAAGGACAAGGTTCCTCCAAATGCCTTGGAGTCAGCTGTGGTTTGAATGTTTCTCCCCTCCCGAACACATTCTTAAAACTTAATCCCCAATACAACAGTATCAAGAGGTGGGGCCTTTAAGGAGTGATTGGGTCATGAGGACTCTGCCCTCATGTATGGGTTAATGCGTTCATGGATTAATGGGTTAATGGATTAATAGGTTATCACAAGAGTGGGTCTGTTATAAAAGCCAGTTTGCAGCTGGGTGTGGTGTCTCACACCTGTAATTCCAGCACTTTGGAAGGACAAAGTGGGCGGATCAGTAGGTCAGGAGTTTGAGACCAGCCTGGCCAATATGGTGAAACTCGGTCTCTACTAAAAATACAAAAATTAGCCGGGCATGGTGGTGTGCACCTGTAGTCCCAGCTACTCGAGAGGCTGAGGCAGGAGAATCACTTGAACCCAGGAGGTAGAGGTTGCAGTGAGCCAAAATTGTGCCACTGCACTCCAGCCTGGGCGACAAAGTGAGACTCCATCCCCCCACCACCACCACCAAAAAAAAAAAAAAAGAACCAGTTTACCTCTCAGTGCTCCACTGAGATGGGAACATGGTGATACCTTCCACTGTGCTACGATATAGTACAAGGCGCTCACCAGAAGCCAACAAGATGTGGCTCCTCAACCTTGGACTTTCCAGCCTCCAGAACTATACAAAATAAATGTCTTTTATTTATAAATTACCCAGTCTCAGCTACTTAGTTACAGCAACTGAAAATGGACTAAGACATAGTAATAGAATCTCAAGCAGTGCCCCCTGAACAAGGCACACATTCCTCTGCAAAGGAAGTCAACAAACTATCCTCTCCTTCTCCCCAGGTTTTAATCTTGCTCATTAAAATAGAAGGGTCAGTTATTTTTGAAGTTTTGGCAAAAAGATGCTTCTGTTCTTCCTTCCATATCATTAATTCCTTCCAAAGCAAATATAATGGACTATATGATGGGTGACACTGGGGATAAATAAACGGGGCATGCTTCACTCAGCACCTTCTGGGTTATTGAAACTGCCTGTCCACGGGGTGAAGGCACTCACTTCCACTCCTAATTCCAAAAGAGAATTGGAGGTCTCAGGTGGTCTCACAGTGGTGGGCTTGGAGGCTCTTGTCTCTCTGTTTCCAATATTACGGATTAACAGGCAAGAAAGGGTGATTTAAAATAAGTCTGATTACAAATACAAACCATGCATTCTCAACTCTAGTATTACTATTGTTTTAACTCCATGTTTTATTCTTCTATTTTTCAATTGATTACAAACTTAAAGGGGGATTTAAGGAGTGAGAGCAATTAGCAGCCCCAAAACCTCAACAGTTAATGCACTGATTGAGAGGCCTTTGAGATAGGCACAAAGGCTGACATTTGTACATGAAAGTAACACATGGGGAGGCTGATGCTTCTGTGTAGCAGAGGCTGATGCTTCTGTGTAGCAGAGGCAGAGGCTTGAGGCTTCCATGGGCCACATGGGATTTGACCTTTGCAGGACAGTAACAGCTTTTTATAGCTGTGTCTGTGGGCAAGTGGCTGTTTTTTGTAAAAGGTGCTAGGCTGTTCTTAAAAGACTCAGCCTTATTTTAACAGATGCTGGCCTTTGCATGCACCAACTGGAATAGGTCTTAGAAAGAGGCCTGGGCTACCCAAACTTCTTCCAATAGTTTATCACCAACAAATGGATCCTGTTAGAGGAACAAAACGATACCGTATATGCAAGGCTGAAGGACTCTCCTGCAAGATAAGGTGGGTGTTCTATAATGTTTTTCTCCCTCTTTTTCTGAGTAAGAATCAGTATTACAATTTTATTATATTTTGTTTCTTTATTATCATAATTTGTGTTTTGCTCTGGTATTTTATATTGATTAAATATACCATTTTAAGTCTATTGGAATGCTACCAGGGAATAAATGGAGTTCACCTAGAAAATAAGCCTTTGAAGTGGCCCTTTGACTTAAACTCTGGATGCAATACAGGTCACGACATCGTATTTTCTCCTAATGGGAAGAGGCTGAGTCAATGCGTGCCTGTATATGTGAAAATGCTGATAATGATAGCCACTATTCCTTAAGTGCTCACCTTCTGATCCATCCTAAGTGCTTTCCATGTATTTGTACAACAACTCTATGAGGTGGTTCTTCTCTTTATCCTAATTTTATGGGTGAGGACACTAAGGCATAGAAAGGTTTAAATAACTTTCTTAAGGGCAGAATAAAACTAAAATGATGGAACCACGTTCCAAATCCAGTCAGTCTGACTCCATAGTCTATACTTTTTACCACTAAGCTTTAAAAATAATTGCTTACTGAGGCAGGGACATTTTTGGAACTAAACGTGTGAGAAGAAGAGAAAGTAAGGAGCTAGACAATTACTTTGAATATACTAGACAATCTGCAGCACCATCTTGCCCCTTCTCCTGGTCACAGCTGATTGAACTGGGGTGGACACTTGACCCAAGAGCCAGGAAAGCAAAATCTGCAGAGCACCCTATGACAGAGTATTTAAAAGACAAGCTGGCCAACTCAATTCTCTCCAAGGATTTAAAATAAGTAGTCATACTTGCCAATACTGAGGGTGGGTGTTGGAACTGGAAGGCTGTATAATTTTAGCTACCATGGTAGACATTTGGGATCATGAGGAAAATGAGTAAGCAGAAAACGCTGGCTGGCAGAAAAGAGAACAGAACAGAAATTTAGAGGAAATCTGAGATAAACATGTACTATCTGAGAAAAAGACATCTTCGATTTTCTTGAATGGATCTCCCCTTTTTCCTTATAATCTAAGCAGTCCAACTAACATAGTATAACAATTGGCTTTCTATCTTAGTTACTCAAGCAGCAAACAGAATGTCTGGGATATATTAGGTGCTCAATAAATGCTTTGTTAATGAAAGGATTTAAAAAGATTGGTGTTGAATAAATGCAGAATTCTGTGATTCTGTGCTGAATAACCAGGTGGTTTTCTCAACATATTCATTATTCTCCAGTATATGACAAAATATTTTCCAAACACTTGATTGGGTACAAGGTCTTAAACCTTCTGCTCCCAAGTTTCTGGTTCTTATAGACACCATAAACACTGGAAGAACACTAATAGTTGTATACTTCTTTCATAGTCCAAAGACACTGCTATTGCACACCACTCTACCCCAAGTAGGGTTGCCAGATAAAACACAGGATGCCCATCCAAATTTGAATTGCAGATAAACAACAAATAATTATTTACTATAAGTATGTTCTAAATATTTCATGCTACTTATGTATACTAAAAAGGTATTTGTTGTTTATCTGAAATTCAAATTTAACTGGGCATCCTGTATTTTTATTTGCAAAATCTGTCATTCACCGAGGGTCAATTTTTCTCCAAATCACCAGGCCAGTTCAAAATGCCCAGCTCTTAGCATTTTCTTCCCATATCATCTCATCCCCATCCAGATGAAGGATTCTCCTCTCCCCATATCCCATCCACCCAAATGTGCACAGGTACCCACAGGAATGCACACAAACGCACACATGTTCTACAAATGGAAGCTCTAATATTTTTTGATGCTTAAGAGGTAGAAGTTGCTCAATTCAAAGTATCGTTAAGCTCGTTTAAAATTTCAGAGGGACATGGCAGTACTTTTACCTTTTTTTCTACACTTTCAACTTGGAGACGTCTTAGTAACACCAACATAATTTTCTCTGCTCCCAGGAATGCTCAACCACTTTGCTAGACTTTCTCCAAGGGACTTAAACATATGAAATTATTTGTGAAAATGTAATCCTATCTTTTCACATTGACCAATTCTTCAAATTACCAGCAAGAGATTCTGCTCCCTATTCCTGCCACCTCATCCATGATTTCCAGTGGCACCATGAAATCCCTCTGGCAGGAAGGGGCCTGCCCCTGCCACCCAACAAACTTTCTTTAGGAGAATCAATATAGAGAAGAGGAGGCAAAGAATCATGACCTTGAGGCCACCTGCAGCAGCACTCCCCCTGTAAGCATCATCACCCCCTCCTGCCATACCCAACTCATGCCTGGTTCTTCCGCTGTCCCTCCCACAGCCATGCTTAAAGGATGCAAGGGAGAGGCCATCTCTTTTAGTCACACTCATGATCCCAGATGGCCTCTGTGCCACAATCTTAACTTACATTTTTTTTTTCATCTGTTTAAGGCATTACCAAACTTCTCTCACTTGCTTCATTTAGTCCCCCCAGTAACCTTGTGGTGTGGGTGTCACTGCACCATTTGCAAGAAAGGAGAGTGAGACTTGAGGGAATGCAGCAAGGGCCTGGCCCCCACATCCCCCTTAGGAACTAGCAGAGTTGCAACTCAGACTCAGATTTTTCCCTTCCAGCCCTAAGCTTCTCCCCACTCCCTTGCACCCTGATTCAGGTAAGAGTGTGTGGTCTGTGCAATGATAAGTTTCCTGGGAGATGTAATATCTTCTCTGTATGTGAGGGTGGGGCAGACACTGTCCCCACTTGACACCCAGGAAGGCAGAGGAAATTAAAATTACATTTCCCAAGCAAGTGAGAAAGCACAGTGGGTCAAAGGATGGCTGGAATTTGAAGATGCCCAGCCCCCAAACAGACTAATCTTCCTGAGCCAGGGGCAAGAGGTGCTGCTTGTCAGTTATCTGGGGCACACCAGATCGTTGCAGAGGGCACATGCCCTCCTAAACCATTGCACTAGATGTTAAATGAAGCAATTAAAGATGAAGGGTACATTTTAATTACCAGGATTGGCCAGCTCCAAAGGGCCCCAAGTTTCAAGTGAATGTGAAGACTCAATTATGCTGAACGGGAGCAAGTCACCTGGCATCATGAGGCTGATTATCTGGAAGCCTGAGGTGGAGAAAAGGGATGCCAAAGAATAAAGCAAGGGAGAAAAGAGATGCCACGTGACAGAAAATTCGTAAGACAGCAGGAAACTGCAAGAGATCCATAACATCCTGAAGTGTGGGATGAACCTGCCTCTCAAGGGAAAATGGGCAAATTAGTCCCATTAGCAATTTTAGAAATTCCCTCTTCTCTTCCCTCTAATGGATATACAATTTTCATTGTTTCAGCTTCAAGTATATCATGAACTTTTCACCTTTCTATCTTCCCCAAGCCACGATTTCACCTGCCTCCATCACCAGCAAGCCCAGGAGAGATGCTATAGCAATGCTGCAGCCAGTCTGTCCTGTCCGGGGCATTCCAAACAAGGTTTACCTGGAGCCACCCCAGGAGGAAAGAGAAAGATGACTGGTTTGGGGGTTGCAATATATTATTTTTCATTTTTTGGAAATATTTTCTCAATAATGATCACTAAAACTCCAGTTTATATAGAATTACAAAGCCAGGCACAGTGGCTCATGCCTGTAATCCCAACACTTTGTGAGGCCAGGCAGGAGGATTACTTGAGGCCAGGAGTTTGAGACCAGCCTGGGAAGCAAAGCGAGACCTTGTCTCTACATAATTTTTTTTAAAAAATTAGCTGGGTGTGGTGGCATGCACCTGCAGTCCTAACTACTCAGCAGACTGAGGTGGGAGGATCTCTTGAGCCCAAGAGTTCAAGGTTACAGTGAGCTATGTTCATACCACTGCACTACAGCCTGGGCAACAGAGCAAGACCCTGCTCCAAAAAAAAAAAAAAAGAATTACAATATTTTTTCTGCTTCCTCTTTTCTCAATCTATTTTAATATAAATTGGAATCCAGAAGGCAAACTAGTGAGAGGTGTGTCTAGAGAATAATACAATTTTCCAAATTTAAGACTGCTACTCTTTTATGTACCATAAAACACAATACGTCTATGAGTAGATCTGTTTTTAAGCTGGTACAGAGAGGCATTAGGCTCACCCTCTGGCCAAGTGATTTATCATCAGTCACTAGCCTTGCAACATGTTGGACTCAGATAAACTAACTGGTCAGTTCCACAGTGAAAACAAGAACCTCAGAATCTGGCCTTTTAGCCTTAGTACTTCTCCCAGGTAATATTGCATGGAATCTTTGGGGTTTTGCCTAATCTCTAAAAATAAATGCATGGTTCATTTGACCCTTGGTGGATTTGTCATCATGTTTCATGTTTTTTACTCCTAAACTAATATATTTTGCCTCCACATAAGCTGTCTACCCAACCCTAGAGGTATCTAGAAATATGAATAAGAGTTATTAATGTACTCATCTTCACATCTCCTTATTTTCACTGGGTTAGGGCCAGCTAAGATCACTGGATGGTATTAGGAGGATGCCGGCTCTTTCTCTGAAGCAGAGAGGAGGGGCTGCAACCCCTTGGGTGGAGCTTGCCTCACTGCCCAGCAGGGAAAAGACCCTTTTCAGGCTGAAAGTCAGCAGCATCATAGGGAATGAGCTGACAGCTGAATAGGAAAGGAGACAATAGTTGCTTAAGAAGAGCAGGCCAGCGCCTGAGAAACGGGCCTGCCCGCTAATGAGTGGAACCAGCCCTGTGCTGCAAGCTGGGAGAAGGATGGAGCGCCTTTCAATGAAGATGCATTGTCTTCAGTGCCCAGAGCACAGACTTGCTTGCGAAAATCTGTGTCCCAGAATCCTGATCTGAGAAAGGTCTTCTGGAGGTCAAGTCCATTCCTCTGCCTTCATGATTTTAAATATCATCTAAACAATA